>NC_000009.12:104584188-104735703 GCF_000001405.40 Homo sapiens | reverse complement strand
GCACTTTGGGAGGCCAAGGCAGGCGGATCACAAGGTCAGGAGATTGAGATCCTGGCCAACATGGTGAAACCCCGTCTCTACTAAAAATACAGAAGTTAGCTGGGTGTGGTGGTGCATGCCTGTAGTCCCAGCTACTCGGGAGGCTGAGGCAGGAGAATTGCTTGAACCTGGGAGGTGGAAGTTGCAGTGAGCCAAGATCGCACCACTGCCCTCCAGCCTGGCGACAGAGCAAGACTCTGTCTCAAAAAAAAAAAAAAAAAAAAAAAAGAAGATATTTTTCAAGTTTCTCTTTTCAATATGAATTTCTAATATGTTGTATTTTGGACACAGGTTGTGATTTGAATGATACTGATTCTTTGGTATTCAATGAGACTTGTTTTCTTTCCCAATGCATCCTTAGTTTTATAAACATTTCATTGGATTTTAACAGTTTCTACTATTTGTGCACAAAGTTACACACACACATACAGATTGTTGCAATTTTTAAGATGGATGTTTAACTTAATGCGATCTCTACTTAATCTATTTGTAATCCTCCTGAATTGAAGTCCTGAAGGACTTCAAAATGTTTATCTCTGATTTCTAACCCCTCTCATCATATTCCATGTTATTTGTATCTTAGATTTCATTTTTATTTTGTTTTTAAGTCCCCTAATTGCCCTTTTTTACAAAGTCAGTGACAGTTTGGATTTACCCATATTATTTATCAATGTCCTTATTTTCTATGAAAAGTGATTTCCATTCCATTCGTTTTATTAAGGGACAGTTTCTTTCTTTCGAGAGTTTTCTGGGTGTTAAAAAAAATCATTTTTTTCCAAAAATGTCTTTATATTGCCTTCTCTCTTGGAAGATAGTTTTATACACAATTCTAGTTTTCATTGCTTTTGCTTAAACAATCTAAGATAGTATTCCATCGATTTTTGCCTTCTGTTTTAATTGATGGCATTTTTACTCTATGAAAAGCATTTTAGAAAATAAACACTATGCTATATGATATTAAAATATAATAAGATTATTCATTATGAAGAGCAGACTATGCTTCATTTATTAAAAACTGTAATAAATAGTCTGTGTAGGAAGCATTATGACATTCTTAGACCAACTTCCATATTTCCTTTTAGATACTCATTTTACCATTATATTTTGCTTATTTATAAATATGCTTATATACTTATATATTAATTTTAAAAAGTGATATACTTTATTGTAAACATTTAAAAGTATTTAAAAATATTTATTGAAAACCACTTTTTATAAGTTCTAGATTTTGAAATTTAAGTGTGCCTGCCAAATAAGACTGCAAAATCTAGACTGAATGACAGACATAAAAGAACAAAAAGGAAGGTATCTTCTGTAGTATCTGTATAGAGAAGTTTATTCTGACAATTATCATTTTTATTTTCATATTATAAAAATAAAAAGGAGGCTGGGCATGGTGGCTCACGCCTGTAATCCCTGCACTTTGGGAGGCCGAGATGGGCAGATCACCTGAGGTCCGGAGTTCCAGACCAGCCTGCCAACAGTGGAGAAACCCCATCTCTACTAAAAATACAAAATTAGCCCGGCGTTGTGGCGGATGCCTGTAATCCCAGCTACTCAGGAGGCTAAGGCAGGAGAATCACTTGAACCTGGGAGGCTGAGGTTGCTGTGAGCTGAGATTGCGCCATCGCACTCCATCCTGGGAAACGAGTGAAACTCTGTCTCCAAAATAAATAAATAAGAATAAAGTAAATTCTGTCTTTCATAATTCAGTATCTTAGAGAAGAGATTTAAAGCAAATACTAATGTCATAATATACACACATATTGAAACATAATGCAGTTTTGCATACACTATATATGTCTGCTCAATCATTCTTAGGACTTTTAATAATTTCACTGTTACGGTAAGATAACTAGTTTCAAAATGTGGTAAAATTTTCCAGCCTAACTCAAAGCTAAGAAATATAGAGTTTGTCTTGTGCCTTTTATATAAAATTGTTTTACTTCTCTTTTTCCACTGTTTTTTTAAGTTAGCTTCTTTTCCAGAATTTCAGTTTACCATATAAGAAAGTTAAAGACTTTAAACACAGAGATATCTAAATCTGCATGTTTTTCTCAAGACATATTTTCCTTCTGAACCAAGATAAATATGATTCATAGTCTTTGCCATTTAATTGTCTTGATTAATTGTTTTCAATAATTTCTCTTGTTTGTTACTCAGTGACTGAATTATGCATTTTTGCTATTTAAAAAATGCTTTGCAATTTAAAGCTTTTGATCAGAAGTGTAAAACTTAGTAGTCCTTTCATCACTAATACTAGAGGTGCTCACTATATTGAGTAAAGTCTCACTTCCCATTTTAAAATAATCTTACACATTATGACATGCATATTAACATTTGTATTCTGTAACTACCTGAATCATTATTATAATACAAATACTGTTTACTTACATTGTCCTTAACCAGTATTGCCTCACATGTTAAATCATTTTGTGTCCCACATCTGGTGTGAGAATATGAGTAGCATAGGAAACAGTTCAGCCAATTTAGAGATTACTTGAATTGAACTTCAGCTTTTTAATTTTTATTAAGGTTCCGGATTAGAAAAGGCCTTGGGAAATGTGAATGATTGTGTAATTGTGTATAAATTCATTTTTAATTTTTAATTTTTGTTAGTACACTGTAGGTATATATATTAATGGGGTCATAAGATGTTTTGATACAGACATGCAATGTATAATAACCACATCATGGAAGATGGGGTATCGATCCCCTCATTTAGCCTTTGTTATTATATATCAATCTTGTAGCAATGTTATAAGATTTATAAGAGATTATCATGTGGATATATAGAAATGGCATTATCAAAAAATTCATTGTTTTCATTGCATTGAAAAGGTGAAATTGCAGAATAAATGTAGGAGAAAATTTCTTTTTGCTAAGGTTTGTACAATCTGATATGCCTGAGGAATCAGTAATCCCCTCAGAAATAGCCAAGAATATATGAAGGAATATCACAAACAGCACATTATGCCAAAAATTGCTGTTTTCTTTTTTTCTTACTACATTACAACCTGATTCTAGTCAATCTTCTGATGTATTTCATTTCTCCTTTCCTTCTCCTCCCTTTTACCCATCCCGCAGGAATAGCAATGGAAACCCTGAAAAGCATTCAGTATAGGAAATTAAGTTTCACAGGGACCATTAAAATTTATTTTTGATTTCTCTCTTGTAAGAGTTGTAAATAACCTATTAAAAAGTTTTGCCCTTTTAAACTAGAACTTTTTCCTAAAGTCTGTTTAAGATAATTTATAATACAATTTTTCATCCAATTTCTACCCTTGCCTCATACACTCCTACAACATTCATTCAAGAGCTGCATTCTTGACAGGTTTTATACAGTTTTTTCAACACTGTATTATGAAAAATTTCAAACATAAAGCAAAACTGAAAGAATTTTACATTGAACATCACATACCAACCAACTAGATTTTACCACTAACATTTTACTAGGTTTATTTCCTTCCTTCCTTCTCCTCCTTCTTTTCTTCTTCTTCCCCTTCCCCTTCCATTTCGCTCTTGTCGCCCAGGCTGGAGTGCAATGGGGCGATCTCAGCTCACTGTAACTTGCACCTCCTGAGTTCAAGCGATTCTCCTGCCTCAGCCTCCCAAGTAGCTAGGATTGATTACAGGCATGCACCACCATGCCCAGCTAATTTTGTGTTTTTAGTAGAGATGGAGTTTCACCATGTTGGCCAGGCTGGTCTCTAACTCCTGACCTCAGGTGATCCGCCCGCCTCAGCCTCCCAAAGTGCTCGGATTACAGGTGTGAGCCACCGCGCCCAGCCTCATATCTATGTTTCTATTCATTGCTCTATCCTCCCACTAAATCCATGTCATTTGTGGATGCTTTTAAAGTACATTGCAGATATCGTACACTTTTCTCTAAGTACTTTAGCATGTGTATCATTAACTAGAGTTTAATATTTGTTTATGGTTTTTTCTTTTAATTTAAAATTTATATACAATAAATTCATAATCCTAATTATTCAGTTTTGACAAACACATCCCTTTGTCACTCAACTTGCTACTGCGATATAGAACGTTAACATGACCTCAGAAAAGTTCCCTCATTCCCCATTCCCGTTGATACCTGCTGTAACTCTTCCTCCACATGGGCAGCCACTGTTCTAATTTTTAAAGCAACATTAATTCGTTTTTACCTGTTTTATAACTTCAGTATATACTCTTCTAAAAACACTTTGGCTGCTATGCAGAGAAGGAATTGTAGGAAGATGAAAGAGGAGTCAGAGATGTGATTTGGGAAGCCATTGCAGTAGCCTATGTGAGATGATGATGGCTTGGACCAGGGCGGTAGCAGTGGAAGTGGTCAGACTTAGAGTAAATTTTGAATATAGAGCTGATAGAATTCACTAGGGGGCTGGATGTGAGTGTATGTTGATGCCACTACCTGAGATGGGGAACACTTGAAGAGAAGTAGTTTGGGGATAAGAAAATCAAGGTTTCTATTTTGGACATGTTATATTTCTTAGTTTTTGGTTTTTTTTTTTTTTTTTTGAGACGGAATCTTGCTCTGTGGCCCAGGCTGGAGTGCCATGGCGCGATCTCGGCTCACTGCAAACTCCGCCTCCCGTGTTCACGCCATTCTCCTGCCTCAGCCTCCCGAGTAGCTGGGACAACCGGCGCCCGCTACCACGCCCGGTTAATTTTTTGTATTTTTAGTAGAGACCGGGTTTCACCGTGTTAGCCAGGATGGTCTCGATCTCCTGACCTCGTAATCCGCCCTCCTCGTCCTCCCGAAGTGCTGGGATTACAGGCGTGAGCCACTGGCCTGGACATGTTATATTTCAAATGCCTAGAGTGTATCTCAGAGCTAGAGATACTTATACAGGAGTCACTGTTTTATAAGTTAATATTTTATTTTGGTCATTGTCAAATTATAAGCATAATAAAGTAGTTCACAGATTATATCTATTTATAACTAGGTTAGATGGACTTTGCTGATCTGTTACAGACAAACCTCTGATGCCCAGAATAAACAAAACCATATATGCAACAAAGGAAATATTATTTTAAGCAGGATTATTGCTAGCTATATGTATTACATACAACACAGTCACATTGCTCATATTCTATGAAAAGAAAATTAATAAACAAATAGACTTTATACAATAAAGCAAAATGCAGTGATCCAAAGAATCTATTCATTGAAGCCCACTGTTAACATTTGTGGTATTACAAGGACAGATAACTCACAGCCTCTGTGTCTGATGACCTTTGAATAAAATAACAGACATATTGTATATATAATTGAAGAGAATAAAAAACACATAATAAAAACATAATAAACACTTCAAAGCCTAAGTAGATTGTATAAGAATTTAACTTAGAGGAAGACAAGGTAGAGTCTTGCTAGGATGATTTTAGAAGGCTTTAAAGTCAGAGGAGACTTTTTTTGAGGAGAACCTTGAATTTTCATAGTAGGTTAAAGGGATGGCAATTTTAGGTGGAGAGAATGGTATTTGCAAAAATGCAGATGCAGCAGTCATAAGGATTATTCAGGCAATGGCAAATAAAATTGTTTAACTTCAGCATAAGAAAGACAATCACCCATTCACTCATTCAACACATATTTACAATAAATGCTTATTTTGTTCTGGGTACCAAGGACTGTTAAGTACATACTACTTTCATATCTTTCCCTCAGGGAATCCCCTCAGTCTGTTAGGCAAGATAGATATATATGGAGAAAGGTAAGGGGAATGTATATTTTTTGTTGCATGACATTTTGTTAAGCACCGAAGAAGGCATTTTGCATTTTTTTTCCCTTATTCAATTCCCATAAGACCCCTTAAGCTAGGGACTAAATGCCACATTCTACGTCAAGGGAAATGGAGTCTCTGATAGGTTAAAATTTATTATCCTAGTAAATTACAGTGTTAGAGTTTGTACCCATTTCTTCCATTTAAAAAACTATGCCACATTGAATAAATACAATATAACAAAACGTTTAATAAAGTCACATTATAAAATGTTATTTTTGCTTAGTCTTGCTTTGGCTGTGTGGGCTCTTTTTAGTTCTATGTGAATTTTAGAATTGTTTTTTATAACTGTGAGGAATGATGGTGGTATTTTGATGGAGATTGCATTGAATTTGTACATTGCTTTTGGCAGTATGGTCATTTTCACAATACTGATTTTATCCATCCATGAACATGGGATCTTGTTTCCACTTGTTTGTGTCATCTGTGATTTCTTTCAGCAATGTTTTGTAGTTTTCCTTGTAGAGGTCTTTCAACTCCTTTGTTAGGTATATTCCTAAGTATTTTATTTTATTTTTTGCACCTATTGTAAAAGTGGTTGAGTTCTTGATTTGATTCTCTGCTTGGTTGCTGTTGGTGTACAGAAGTGCTACTGATTTGTGTACATTAATCTTGTATCCAGAAATTTTGCTGAATTCTTTTTATCAGTTCTAGGAGCTTTCTAGAGGAGTCCTTAGGGTTTTCAAGGTAAACAGTCATATCGTAAGCAAACAAGTGACAGTTTGACTTCCTCTTTGCCGATTTGGATGCCCTTTATTTCTTTCTCTTGTCTGATTGCTCTGGTTAGGACTTCCAGTACTATGTTGAAGAGGAGTGGTGAGAGTGGGCATCCTTGTTTTGTTCCAGTTCTCAGAGGGAATGCTTTCAACTTTTCTCCATTCAGTATCACGTTGGCTGTGGGTTTGTCATAGGTAGCTTTTATTACATTGAGGTGTAACCCTTGTATGCTGATTTTGCTGAGAGTTTTAATCATAAAAGGATGCTGGATTTTGTCAAATTTTTTTTCTGCATCTATTGAGGTGATCATGTGATTTTTGTTTTTAATTTTGTTTATGTTGTGTATCACACTTATTGACTTGAGTGTTAAACCATCCCCGCATCCCTGGTATGAATCCCACTTGATCATGGTGGATTATCTTTTTGATATGTTGTTGGATTTGGTTAGCTAGTATTTTGTCAAGGATTTTAGCATCTATGTTCCTCAAGGATATTGATCTGTAGTTTTCTTTTTTGGTTATGTCCTTTCCTGGTTTTGGTATTAGGGTGATACTGGCTTCATAGAATGAATTAGGGAGGGTTCCTTCTTTCTCTATCTTGTGGAATAGTGTCAAAAGGATTGGTACTAATTCTTGTTTGAATGTCTGGTAGAATTCTGCTGTGAATCCGTCTGGTCCTGGACTTTTTTTTGTTGGTAATTTTTAAATTACCATTTCAATCTTGCTGCTTGTTATTGGTCTGTTCAGGGTATCTAATTCTTCCTGATTTAAGCTAGGAGGGTTGTATTTTCTCAGGAATTTATCCATTTCTTGTAGATTTTCTAGTTTATGTGAGTAAAGGTGTTCGTAGTAGGCTTGAATGATCTTTTGTATTTCAGTGGTGTCAGTTGTAATATCTCCTGTTTCGTTTCTCAGTGAGGTTATTTGGATTTTCTCTCTTCTTTTCTTGGGTAATCTTACCAATGGTTCATCAATTTTATTTATCTTTTCAAAGAACCAGGTTTTTGTTTAATTTATCTTTTGTATTTTGTTTTGTTTTGTTTCGATTTCATTTAGTTCTGCTCTGATCTTGGTTATTTCCTTTCTTCTGCTGTGTTTGGTTTTTGGTTTGTTCTAGTTTCTCTAGTTGCTTGAGGTGTGACCTTAGATTGTTTGTGCTCTTTCAAACTTTCTGATGTAGGCGTTTAGGGCTATGAACTTTCCTCTTTGCACCGCCTTTGCTGTATCCCAGAGGTTTTTATTTTATAGGTTGTGTCATTATTGTCATCAGTTGGAAGAATTTTTAAATTTCCATTTTGATTTTGTTTTTGACTCAGTGCTCATTCAGGAGCAGGCTATTTAATTTCCGTGTATTTGCGTGGTTTTGAAAGTTCCTTTTGGAGTTGATTTTCAGTTTTATTCCACTGTGGTCCAAGAGAGTGCTTGATATAATTTCAATTTTCTTAAATTTATTGAGGCTTGTTTTGTGGCCCGTCATATGGTCTATCTTGGAGAAAGTTCCGTGTGTTGTTGAATAGAATGTGTATTCTGAGCTTGTGGACGAAATGTTACACTGTATTATATATTAGATATACTATATAATATAATTATATATATTATATATACTGTATGTATGTATAAATATTCTGTATACATCTGTTAAGTCCATTTGTTCCAAGGTATAGTTTAAATCCATTGTTTGTTGATTTTCTGTCCTGATGACCTGTCCAGTGCTGTCAGTGGAGTATTGAAGTTCCCCCACTATTGTTGTGTTGCTGTCTATCTCATTTCTTAGGTCTATTAGTAATTGTTTTATAAATTTGGGATCTCCAGTGTTAGGTGCATATATATTTAGGATTGTGATATTTTCCTTTTGGACAAGGCCTTTTACCATTATGTACTGTTCCTCTTTGTCTCTTTTAACCACTGTTGTTTTAAAGTTTTGTTTTGTCTGAAGTAGCTCCCCTGCTCACTTTTGGTGTCCATTTGCATGAAATGCCTTTTTCCACCCCTTTAAGTTTATGTGAGTCCTTATGTGTTAGGTGAGTCTCCTGAAGGCAGCGGATAGTTGGTTGGTGAGTTCTTATCCATTCTGCAGTTTTGTGTCTTTTAAGTGAAGCATTTAGACCATTTACATTCAATGTTAGTATTGAAATGTGAGGTACCATTGCTTTCATCGTGCTATTTGTTGCCTGTGTACTTTGGCTTTGTTTTTTGTTTTTGCCTTTTTTTTTTTTTTGAGATGGAGTCTCGCTCTGTTGCCCAGGCTGTAGTGTAGTGGCACAATCTTGGCTCACTGCAATCTCTGCCTCCTGGGTTCACGCCATTCTCCTGCCTCAGCCTCCTGAGTAGCTGGGATTACAGGCGCCTGCCACCATGCCCGGCTAATTTTTTGTATTTTTAGTAGAGACGGGGTTTCACCGTGTTAGCCAGGATGGTCTTGATCTCCTGACCTTGTGATCCGCCCGCCTCAGCCTCCCAAGGTGCTGGGATTACAGGCGTGAGCCACTGTGCCCCGCCTTTGTTTTTGCTTTTTAACCTGTATTTTCGTTTTATAGGTCCTGTGTGATTTATGCTTTAAAGAGGTTCTGTTTTGATGTATTTCCGGGATTTGTTTCAAGATTTAGAGCTCCTTTTAGCAGTTCTCGTAGCGGTGGTTTGGTAGTGGTGAATTCTCTAAGCATTTGTTTATCTGAAAATGACTGTATCTTTCTTTCATGTATGATGCTTAGTTTTGGTGGATACAAAATTCTTGGCTGATAATTGTTTTATTTGAAGAGGCTGAAGACAGGTTCTCAATCTCTTCTAGTTTAAAAGATTTCTCCTGAGAAATCTGCTGTTAATCTGATAGATTTTCCCTTACAGGTTACTTGGTGCTTCTGTCTCACAGCTCTTAAGATTCTTTCCTTCGTCTTAACTTTGGATAACCTGATGACAATGTGCCTAGGTGAAGATCTCTTTGCAATGAATTTCCCAGGTGTTCTTTATGCTTCTTGTATTTGGATGTCTAGGTCTCTTGCAGGGCTGGGGAAGTTTTCCTTGATTATTCCCCCAAATATGTTTTCCAGGCTTTTGGAATTCTCTTCTTCCTCAGGTACACCGATTATTCTTAGGTTTGGTTGTTTAACATAAACCCAGACTTCTTGGAGGCTTTGTTTATATTTTCGTATTCTTTTTTGTCTTTGTTGGATTGGGTTAATTTGAAGACCTTGTCTTCGAGGTCTAAATTTCTTTCCTCTACTTGTTCAGTTATATTGCTGAGACTTTCCAGAGCATTTTGCATGTCTAAAAGTGTGTCCAGAGTTTCCTAAATTTTTTATTTCTTTTAAGCTATCTATTTCCATGAATATTTCTCTCTTCACTTCTTGTACCTTTTTTTTGGATTTCCTTGCATTGGGCTTCGCCTTTCTCTGGTCCCTTCCTGAGTAGCTTCATAACTAACCTCCTGAATTCTTTTTCCGGTAAATCAGGAATTTATTCTTGGTTTGGATCCATTGCTGGTGAACTAGTGTGATTTTTTGGGGGTGTTGAAGAGGCTTGTTTTGTCATATGACCAGGGCTGGTTTTCTGGTTCCTTCCCATTTGGGTAGGCTCTGTCAGAGAGAAGGTCTCGGGCTGAAGGCTGTTGTTCACATTCTTTTGTCCTACGGAGTGTTCCCTTGATGTAGTACTCTCCCCCTTTTCCAATGGATGTGGCTTCCTGTGAGCCAAACTGCATTGATTGTTGTCTCTCTTCTGGGCCTAGCCACCCCGCAAGTCTACCCAGCTTAGGGCTGGTACTGGGGGTTGTCCTCACAAAGTCCTGTGATGTGAACTGTCTATGGGTCTCTCAGGCATGTATACCAGCGCCTGTTCTGGTGAAGGGGCAGAGGGTGCAATGGACTCCATGAGAGTCCTTAGCTTTGGTGGTTTAATGCTCTATTTTTGTGCTGGTTGGCCTCCTGCCAGGAGGTGGCATTTTTCCAGAAAGCATCAGCTGTAGTAGTGTGGAGAGGGATGGTTGGTGGGCGGGGCCCTAGAACTCCTGAGATTATATGCTCTTTGTCTTCCACTACCGGGGTGGATAGGGAAGGACCATCAGGTGGGTGCAGGGCGAGGCGTATTTGAGCTCAGACTCTCCTTGGGTGGGTCTTGCTGCAGCTGCTGTGGGGGCTGGGGGTGATTTCCAGGTCACTGGAGTTGGGTACCTAGGAGGATTATGGCTGCCTCTGCTGAGTCATACAGGTTGTCAGGAAAGTGGGTAAGGCTGTCAGTCACAGGTGTCACCCAGCTCCCACGCAAACTGAAGGGCTACTCTCACTCCCACCTTGCCCCAGCCACCCTCAACAGCCCCGAGTCTGTGTCCAGGCAGAGGGTGAGACAGGCTTGAAAACTTGTCCGAGGCTATCTGCGTCCCAGCTGCAAGAGAAAAGGGCTTTAGTCCTTCCTCTGCCTGTGAAGTCTGCACACCTGATTCGCGCCCTCTGCGTTCTGACCAGGAGGCTTCTCGCCCCATTCAAATTGTTACAAAGGTCAGATATAGAATTCCTTGTCCCTGTGGAATTTTACCCCTGCTTCTCTGTCTACCCTCCTGATGGATCCCTGTGGTGCCAGGCAGGAATGGGCTGCTTGGGGACCCAGTGAACTCCTAGGGCCTTTCTGCTGCTTCCTCTACCTCTGTATTTCACTCGGCTCTCTGAGGTCAGCTCCAGGTAAACTTCCAGAAGTCAGAAACTTCTCCTGCAAACAAACCTTCACCTTCTCCAGTGGGGATGTGTGTTTGGGAGAGGAGGGTCTCCCTTTCCCATTTCTGCAGTTGGGGTACTCACAGTATTTGGGGTGTCTCCTGGGTCCTGCAGGAGCAGTCTGCTTCCTTCAGAGCATCTGTGGGTCCTCTCAGGATTGCTGGTTTGTTCTTGCAGTTGATCTGGAGCTAAAATTCACAATGTAAGCTTCTGCACGCTGCTCTGTCTGGAGCTGCAATCTAGTCTTGCCTCCCGTCTGCCATGATGCCCCTCATGTTAAAATTAGCTTTTCATATAAAGATAATTTATTGACTCATGAACTAAAAAGAATGTGAAAATGACTTTAGACACAGCTGAATCGAGGAGTTAACAGCATCAGACACCCTCTCTCTCCTTCTGAACTCCCCTTTGCATCTCAGTTAGGCTCTCTGCTCATACTGCCAAAGATTGGCTCCAGGCTCACAATTCTCCAGTTAAGCAACCCTAGTGGAAAGAGTGCCTTTTTCCCCCGCCCTACTGGGACAGCATTCTTGGGTTGAGTTTGATTAGCCTGACTTGGCTCAGTTGCTACCCTGAATGAGCCACTGTAGCGAGATGAATTTGCTTTTTTATTTGCTAGGCTTTTGTTTAGCATCTACCACTATATCCAGAAGATTGAGTTAGTCCCATGCAGACCACATGGACTCAGAGGAATAGACTGTTGTTATATATATATAAAAAAAAGATATATTATTTTACCAGAAGAGGTGATGCTGTACAACAAAGCAACAGATGTTCTATTCAAAATGACGGATAAAGGAGACCAAGAAGACAGAAGAAAGATAAAGGAAGTAGATGAAGAAGGGAAGAGGAGGAAGGTCAAGAAAGAGGAGGACATGGAGAAGAGGGAGAGAAAAGTGAGTAAGAAAGAGAAAGAGATAAAGAGTAGAGAAGAGTGAGATTTATCTTGATGAAAAACCTTATCCCTATATGGGATCAGTGAGCACAGATACCTACAGCTTGAAACTCTGCACACAAGACATTATTCAGAAGGTGTACATGAGCATTCTGTGATGAGAAGAATGGGAATCCCAAAGTTGTCTTTACAAACATACACACTCTCTTGATACCAGATTCTGTGACTTTATCTGTGAATACAAAACACCTGATCTGATCCCTTGTTGAGAACGTCACATGCCTCAAGGCCTTTCATATTTTCCATAGATGCACGTGTCTGCTGAGGATTTTCTTCACAGCTTCTTTTATCTCCTTATTCCTCAGGCTGTAGATGATGGGGTTCATTGGGGTGATCACTTCATAAGACAATCCAATGATTTCATCAGATGCTGTTGTGAACTTTGATTTGGGCTTCATGTGCATGAAAAGAACTGAACCATAGAATAAGATGACCACAGTCAAGTGCGCTGAACAGGTAAAAAAGGCTTTCTTTCTTCCCTCAGCAGAATTAATTCTCAAGATGGAAGAGAGAATAAACACATAGGAGATAAAAATTAAGAGGAATCACCAATAAAACAATACTTGACACTGTCATTATAAACACATTTATGGAGATATCTGAGCATATGACTTTAAGAAGAGCCAGGATCTCACAGGTAAGATGATCAATGATATTATTCCCACAGAAAGGCAACATCATTGTCAGAACTGTTCGCAATAGGGAGGTCAGACAGCCTATGATCCAGGACCATGCAGCCATTTGCACATACAGCACTCTGTTCATGATGATGGAGTACCTCAGTGGGTTGCAGATGGCCACATAGCGGTCATAGGCCATCACAGCCAGGAGGATACACTCAATGGAGCCCAAGCCAAGGGACACAACCATCTGCAGAGCACAGCCAATGAAGGAGATGGATTTTCTCTCAGATACAAATATAATAAGCATTGGAGGAATGGATGATGATGTGTAACAGATGCCCAAGAATGAGAGGTTTCCAAGAAAGAAATACATGGGGGTATGGAGGCGAGAATCCAAGATGGTGATGATAATGAGGAAGCTATTTCCCAGGAGGATTATCATGTACATGATGAGGCAGAGCAGGAACAGAAAAAGCTGGAGCTCTGGATATTGGGAAAGCCCCACCAGAAAGAATTCAGTCACGGCAGAGTGATTTGTTGTCTCCATGTGTTCATGTCATCTGCAGAGTTTAGAAAAGAACATGAGACAGGAAAATTTGAATTTTTGATGTAGAGTTATCAAATAACTTTCATATTCATCATTTTGTTTTATTCTTAGAACAGGCTCTGGAATCAGCAAGAGCAGGGCTATTAATTTTGCTAATGATAAAAAAGGCACTGAGATCAATATTTAATTTTTTAATTTTTTTTATTTTTTGAGATGGATTCTCGCTGTGTCACCCAGGCTGGAGTGCAGTGGCACAATCTTGACTCACTGCAACCTCTGCCTCCCATGTTCAAGTGATTGTCCTGCCTCAGCCTCCTGAGTAGCTGAGACTACTGATGCACACCACCATGCCCAGCTAATTTTTTGTATTTTTAGTAGAGACAGGTTTCACCACATTGGCCAGAATGGTCTCCATCTCTTGACCTCATGATCTGCCTGCCTTGGTTTCTCAAAGTGCTGGGATTACAGGCGGGAGCCACTGCGCCCGGCCCAATACTTTTTAGTATCACACAGTAGCAGAGGCTATGATGGGAAGTGCCAGTCCTCTAATTACATAATATTTAGGGACAAACTACTTTCAAAGGTGGGTGCTTAAGAATCTCTATTGATGAATATTTTGAAATAAAGCTTTATTTTTATAAAGATGTATCCAATTTAAAGTATCATGGAGATTTGGAACCATGCTGGTTATCCTCACTATGACTTTCAAGTTACTTAACATTTTTGAGTCTAAGCTAGCTAAGCTACCAGTTTCAGCTAGGAAAATGGCAGGAAAGCTATAACTCTTTGGTAGTTTATTGTGAAATTTAACTTAGATAACACCTATTAGGTGGCAGGTATAGTAGGTGGTTCCAACATGTCATCTAAAATTATATATTAAGAGATTATGATTGAATCAAAATAGCAGTAAGTATATATATGTTCATAGATATTATAAATCATAACTTTTAAGTCTACTTGGCTGGGTCAGGAGGAAAAAACATTTTTTTTTTTAAATTTTAGGGCAAGGGAATTGAAATTTGGGAGCATAATTGATGGAACATGAACAATTTTCTGATCCAAAGGGGACATCTAACCAGTTAAGAGTCTGGAATCATTGGTGTTTAGTTCCCAGGAACTAAGGATCTTGGACTGCTATTATGTACAGCTTTCTTTAGGGCCTGGAATTCACCCTTTAATATTAGTCACCAAGTATTACCTTTCTTCTTAACTTTTGTAATTTTCCAATTGGTCTAAATTCTCTATTCCTTTTTCTCTACCTTTTAGATGCATATTTTATGCTTTTGCAGGCAAGTTTATATCATTTACGAGTACTTATTAATATATACTTTTCTTTCGATTTTTGTATTTAATGCTTTGGACCCATCTCCAAATCTTCCATACTGTTTTAAATTTTGGCCAGGAAGCTTCCATGTGTGACAGAATTGACAATGGCTAATTTTTATTGAGCACTTTTTTTGTAAGCACATTTCAGTGCTGTAAGCTCATTGAATGTATTAATCAGTCTTCAGTGCAACTCACTGACATAGATACCATATTTAACTCCCATTTTACGGAGACGAAACAGAGACAAAGAAAAGTTTAAGTAACTTTTACAAGGTCACAGAGATAATATATCCCAAAGCCAAATTCCAATATTCAGTTGCCTGGCTCCAGAGTCAACCCTTTTACCCATTAGACCACAGTGCTTCTCAGAGATTCCTACACTGATTCTAAGCAAGAGACAATTACAGAAATATTTCTTGCTGTGTTAAACTTACATAGCAAGCATCACTTGCTTGTTTTATTTCTGATTACACATGATATACTAGTAAACTCTGAAAGCTGGATCACAGCCTTTTATTTCTTGTAGCCTTTGGAATGTGTGTGTGTGTGTGTGTGTGTGTGTGTGTGTGTGTGTTTTTGAGACGGAGTCTCGCTCTGTCATCCAGGCTGGAGTGCAGTGGCGTGATCTCGGCTCACTGCAAGCTCCGCCTCCCGGGTTCACGCCATTGTCTTGCCTCAGCCTCCCAAGTAGCTGGGATTACAGGTGCCCGCCATCATGCCCAGCTAAATTTTTTTGTATTTTGGGTAGAGACGAGGTTTCACCATGTTAGCCAGGATGGTCTCGATCTCCTGACCTCGTGATCCGCCCACCTCGGCCTCCCAAAGTGCTGGGATTACAGGCATGAGCCACCACGCCCGGCTGGAATGTGGTCTTTTCGGTTGTCTACATGTAGCAGGCAATTTCACAATTATGAGAATTAGCATAATCAAGAACAATGACGTGAGAATTCTTTTTTTTTAAAATTATACGTTAAGTTTTAGGGTACATGTGCACAATGTGCAGGTCTGTTACATATGTATACATGTGCTGTGTTGGTGTACTGCACCCATTAACTCGTCATTTAACATTAGGTATATCTCCTAATGCTATCCCTTCCCCTTCCCCCACCCCACAACAGGCCCCGGTGTGTGATGTTCCCCTTCCTGTGACCATGTGTTCTGATTGTTCAGTTCCCACCTATGAGTGAGAATATGCGGTGTTTGGTTTTTTGTCCTTGTGATAGTTTGCTGAGAATGATGGTTTCCAGCTTCATCCATGTCCCTACAAAGGACATGAACGCATCATTTTTTATGGCTGCATAGTATTCCATGGTGTATATGTGCCACATTTTCTTAATCAAGTCTATCATTGTTGGACATTTGGGTTGGTTCCAAGTCTTTGCTATTGTGAATAGTGCTGCAATAAATATGTGTACATGTGTCTTTATAGCAGCATGATTTATAATCCTTTGGGTATATACCCAGTAATGGGATTGCTGGGTCAAATGATATTTCTAGTTCTAGTTCCCTGAGGAATCGCCACACTGACTTCCACAATGGTTGAACTAGTTTACAGTCCCACCAACAGTGTAAAAGTGTTCCTATTTCTCCACATCTTCTCCAGCACCTGTTGTTTCCTGACTTTTTAATGATTGCCATTCTAACTGGTGTGAGATGGTATCTCATTGTGGTTTTGATTTGCATTTCTCTGATGGCCAGTGATGATGAGCATTTTTTTCATGTGTCTTTTGGCTGCATAAATGTCTTCTTTTGAAAAGTGTCTGTTCATATCCTTTGCCCACTTTTTGATGGGTTTTTTTTTTTTTTTTTCTTGTAAATTTGTTTGAGTTCTTTGTAGATTCTGGATATTAGCCCTTTGTCAGATGAGTAGGTTGCAAAAATTTTCTCCCATTCTATAGGTTGCCTGTTCACTGTGATGGTAGTTTCTTTTGCTGTGCAGAAGCTCTTTAGTTTTAGTAGATCCCATTTGTCAATTTTGGCTTTTGTTGCCATTGCTTTTGGTGTTTTAGACATGAAGTCCTTGCCCGTGCCTGTGTCCTGAATGGTAAAGCCTAGGTTTTCTTCTATGGTTTTTATGGTTTTAGGTCTAACATTTAAGTCTTTAATCCATCCTGAATTAGTTTTTGTATAAGGCGTAAGGAAGGGATCCAGTTTCAGCTTTCTACATATGGCTAGCCAGTTTTCCCAGCACCATTTATTAAATAGGGAATCCTTTCCCCATTGCTTGTTTTTCTCAGGTTTGTCAAAGATCAGATAGTTGTAGGTATGTGGCATTATTTCTGAGGGCTCTGTTCTGTTCCATTGGTCTATATCTCTGTTTGGTACCAGTACCATGCTGTTTTGGTTACTGTAGCCTTGTAGTATAGTTTGAAGTCAGGTAGCGTGATGCCTCCAGCTTTGTTCTTTTGGCTTAGGATTGACTTGGCGATGCGGGCTCTTTTTTGGTTCCATATGAACTTTAAAGTAGTTTTTTCCAATTCTATGAAGAAAGCCATTTGTAGCTTGATGGGGATGCCATTGAATCTATAAATTACCTTGGGCAGTATGGCCATTTTCACGATATTGATTCTTCCTACCCATGAGCATGGAATATTCTTCCATTTCTTTGTATCCTCTTTTATTTCATTGAGCAGTGGTCTGTAGTTCTCCTTGAAGAGGTCCTTCACATCCCTTGTAAGTTGGATTCCTAGGTATTTTATTGTCTTTGAAGCAATTGTGAATGGGAGTTCACTCATGATTTGGCTCTCTGTTTGTCTGTTATTGGTGTATAAGAATGCTTGTGATTTTTGCACGTTGATTTTGTATCCTGAGACTTTGCTGAAGTTGCTTATCAGCTTAAGGAGATTTTGGGCTGAGACAATGGGGTTTTCTAGATATACAATCATGTCATCTGCAAACAGGGACAACTTGACTTCCTCTTTTCCTAATTGAATACCCTTTATTTCTTTCTCCTGCCTAATTGCCCTGGCCAGAACTTCCAACACTATGTTGAATAGGAGTGGTGAGAGCGGGCATCCCTGTCTTGTGCCAGTTTTCAAAGGGAATGCTTCCAGTTTTTGCCCATTCAGTATGATATTGGCTGTGTGTTTGTCATAAATAGCTCTTATTATTTTGAGATATGTCCCATCAATACCTAATTTATTGAGAGTTTTTAGCATGAAGGGCTGTTGAATTTTGTCAAAGGCCTTTTCTGCATCTATTGAGATAATCATGTGGTTTTTGTCTTTGGTTCTGTTTATATGCTGGATTACATTTATTGATTTGCATATGTTCAACCAGCCTTGCATCCCAGGGATGAAGCCCACTTGATCATGGTGGATAAGCTTTTTGATGTGCTGCTGGATTCGGTTTGCCAGTATTTTATTGAGGATTTTTGCATCGATGTTCATCAGGGATATTGATCTAAAATTCTCTTTTTTGGTTGTGTCTCTGTGAGGCTTTGGTATCAGGATGATGCTGGCCTCATAAAATGAGTTAGGGAGGATTCACTCTTTTTCTATTGATTGGAATAGTTTCAGAAGGAATGGTATTAGCTCCTCCTTGTACCTCTGGTAGAATTCAGCTGTGAATCCCTCTGGTCCTGGACTTTTTTTGGTTGATAAGCTATTAATTATTGCCTCAATTTCAGAGCCTGTTATTGGTCTATTCAGGGATTCAACTTCTTCCTGGTTTAGTCTTGGGAGGGTGTATGTGTCAAGGAATTTATCCATTTCTTTTAGATTTTCTGGTTTATTTGCATAGAGGTGTTTATAGTATTCTCTGACGGTAGTTTGTATTTCTGTGGGATTGGTGGTGATATCCCCTTTATCATTTTTTATTGCGTCTATTTGATTCTTATCTCTTTTCTTCTTTATTAGTCTTGCTAGCCGTCTATCAATTTTGTTGATCTTTTCAAAAAACCAGCTCCTGAATTCATTGATTTTTTGAAGGGTTTTTTGTGTCTCTATCTCCTTCAGTTCTACTCTGATCCTAGTTATTTCTTGTCTTCTGCTAGCTTTTGAATGTGTTTGCTTTTGCTTCTCTAGTTCTTTTAATTGTGATGTTAGGGTGTTAATTTTCTATCTTTCTTGCTTTCTCTTGTGGGCATTTAGTGCTATAAATTTCCCTCTACACAGTGCTTTGAATGTGTCCCAGAGATTCTGGTATGTTGTGTCTTTGTTCTCATTGGTTTCAAAGCACATCTTTATTTCTGCCTTCATTTGGTTATTTACCCAGTAGTCATTCAGGAGCAGGTTGTTCAGTTTCCATGTAGTTGAGCGGTTTTGAGTGAGTTTCTTAATCCTGAGTTCCAGGTTGATTGCACTGTGGTCTGAGAGACCGTTTGTTATAATTTCTGTTCTTTTACATTTGCTGAGGAGTGCTTTACTTCCAATTATGTGGTCAATTTTGGAATAGGTGTGATGTGGTGCTGAAAAGAACGTATATTCTGTTGATTTGGGGTGGAGAGTTCTGTAGATGTCTATTAGGTCCGCTTGGTGCAGAGCTGAGTTCAATTCCTGGATATCCTTGTTAACTTTCTGTCTCGTTGATCTGTCTAATGTTGACAGTGGGGTGTTAAAGTCTCCCATTATTATTGTGTGGGAATCTAAGTCTCTTTGTAGGTCTCTAAGGACTTGCTTTATGAATCTGGGTGCTCCTGTATTGGGTGCATATATATTTAGAATAGTTAGCTCTTCTTGTTGAATTGATCCCTTTACCATTATGTAATGGCCTTCTTTGTGTCTTTTGATCTTTGTTGGTTTAAAGTCTGTTTTATCAGAGACTAGGATTGCAACCCCTGCCTTTTTTTGTTTTCCATTTGCTTGCTAGATCTTCCTCCATCCCTTTATTTTGAGCCTATGTGTGTCTCTGCACCTGAGATGGGTTTCCTGAATACAGCACACTGATGGGTCTTGACTCTTTATCCATTTTGCCAGTCTGTCTTCTTACTATCACATTTGCTTCTACCAGCCACACACCTGGAATCCTCTAGCCTTTGTTTTTACTCTGCAAATCAATATGCATTTCAGGATCTTTAATTGTCCTAATATGTGCTTTTTCTACCTTTTTCATCCCAACTCATGTTTTGCTAGTTCTGCCTACTTACAACTTTAGCCCCATGTCATTAAAAACTCAGCCATCCTGTAGTTGTTTCATATTTATTCTGTTAGGTGCCCAAGAAAAGTATTGACTTACTTATATAAAGGATACTTTATATAGTATGTGTGTAACTTTGTTAGACTATCTCTGTCATAGCTAGAGTTCCCTGGGCGTTGGTGGTAAATGAAAATGTTTCTTGCTGATCATATCCTTGCCCCAAACCACGCATTTTCTCTGGCCTTTCTGTATCCAAAGAGCTTGAAGACATGGATGAGGGGCTTATTTCTTGTCTGAAAATAGACAGCAGCGTTCCTATCTTCCTATAAGGGAAAATACAGGAAAATTATTTCCTTTTCATTCCTTTTCCATATCATTTCTCTTCCTCTTAGAGAATATCATCTGAACAATGATTTTAGTAAAGTTGAAAAAAGATGTTGGTACCACTATCTTAGTATATTAGAAAATAGAGTGAAAAAAGATGTTGGTACCACTATCTTAGTATATTAGAAAATATTTCCTTCTTCCACACATCCTTTCCTGTTTCTAGTCACATTGGCACATGGACTTATTTCCACAAAGAAATCAGTTAAGGCAGAAGTTTCAATTTGTTGGAAGATAGTTGTTATGAAGGGAGAGAAGGAGAAAAGAAGAAGGAGAAGGAAAAGGGGTCATTTTTACTGTTAAAGAAAGTGTGCTAAACTTAATACTTCTATCCTAGAGTGAGATTGTTGAGGAGAAAGGGGTGAAGAAGAAATGACTGTCATTTTCTCTGTTCAAAAAGGGTCCCAGGTAAGGGAGCATATTTTTCCAGAATTAAGGGTGAATAAGAGAAGACAAAGAATAACTTCACAAAAAAACCATTAACCTATCACAAAAACCTGTCTCAACTCCCTCAGTTCCCTTTTTTTTTCCCCACTTCAGCCATTTCTTCTCCCATGATAATGTCAAGGAAGGCGTTATTGAGTGGGTTTGCTTCTCAATAATATTCACCAGCTTCCCCACAAAAGACACATAAGCAGAGAAATACAGTCTTAGGAAAAACAGTATGTCTGCTATGCAACACAACTTCAAGAAAAGCCCTCTAGCCCATCATCCGACCACACTGTCATCCCTAGGCCCCTCTAATGTAGAAATTCCAAAGTTCCTACTGACACCCCCGATGCTCTGCAATGAGCATGCTGAGTTTCTTTTTCCCTCCCCCAAATAGTGCCTTTTTTCTCCATTCATTTGTACATGCTGTTTTCTTAAGCTGGAAGGACTTCTCTCAATTTAGATATTTTCTAGGAAAACTTTTTCACCTCTTTGAGTAGGATGCCCCTACGATGTGCTTTTAGCCCCCACAGCAACCTCCACTTACTCGTTTATTGAACACATACTATGCCATATATACTGTGTGATACCTGATAGGGATCCCACTGTGAGTACTACACTCCCAAAATGGACACTGGGTAAAGAATGGTTTTGATAATTATTTTATACTTATAAGAAACAAATAATTTATGTGCTATGTAACTTATTCTCATGTAAAAAAAGTTAATAGTACAGTTTGCAAATTATTTTATCAACCTAAGATAGCCTTTTACTGAAAACTCTCAATAAAACTACGATCAATCCAACTTATGAAATACATGTACAGAAATACAGAGTACATCCAAACTGTATAGTAAAATAATGTCATTTGTTTTTATTAATACAAGGAATTCCAAGTTAGAAATCTATCAATATATGAAGCAAATAGGTAACAAAAGTAAAATGCATTGTTACCTAACTAGATGCCAAAAAGCATTTGATAGAATACAACATTCACTCTTAGTAAAATGTCTCAGTAATCTAAGCTTAGGAGGATAATTCATTAAGATAATGAAGATTATTTCTCTTTAACAGTTGGTCAGTATAATTACAAATGGTGAGAAACTGGAGGCATTTTCCTAAAAGTCATTCAAAAATGCATTATTATATAACATCTTCCCCTGAATGATCCAACAATAGAAAAAATATCATTGCATGTACTATCATATTTCACGTTCAATCATGCTTTAACAGCTATAAGTTTTTCTTCTAGAATGCTGACTTTCTGGCGTGTGATGGGCATGGTATACATGTGAGACTATTTAATCTGTCAGAGACTACCACCATTGCAAATTGTAGCCTTGGAGAAGAATAAGGAAAAGGGACAATGCACATATATAATATTACAAAAAAGAAGTTTCTAATAATATAAATGATTGCAATTTTGTACTTATGTGTCTGAAGAAATGACACCAAAATGTTAACTGTGGTTTTCTCTGGAATGTGAGACTTAGGGCACTAATAATTTATCTTCTCCATATTTTCCGAACAATTTTAAATTAACCTATATTTTATTACTATATGTATCAGAAATAGTATTTTCACATTTTTCTTGGAAGATAATTGTGGCAAGAATGTGTAGAATGGACAGTTTTCTCTAAAAACCAAGTAGGGAATAAAACAGACAATGGACAGGAAATTGGAGTGGGGCTTTATGTTCTATCATATTACATAGATTAATTCAATGCCATTTAGTGTTCTTATGTCCACCAATCGATCTAACACTTATATCCACCATCATCAGACATACTGATACAGCCTCAGTTATTGCAAAAAGATTCTAGAACCCACCATTTAGAATGTGATCAAGCTTAGCAGTGCTGATAGGAAGCACTGTAGAGCATCCGGCAGTATCACACAAGAAAAAAAAAAGATAGAGGCGATGCCTGGTGGGTGGGAGGGAGCCTAGGGAAACATCAGGGGCTTCTGTTACCTCTGCTTTTTTCTTTGTTATAAAAATGTAGAATTTCAGTTTGTTGATTCTCCAGGTTTTATTCTTCTCTCCCCAAAGGCTCCATCATAGATCGGTTCTCAGTATTGGGCATCACCTATGGGAAGAAAGTTCTCATTTGAGAACTGTGGATTGTGAAACATTCACCCTTCTTCTCCCATGTTTACTAGTAGGAGAGAGTAGTTGTAAAACATGAGCACTCACCCAGTTTGCCTGATTTTAACCCAAGGAACCTTTTGAAGCAGGATATGTTACACCCAGCAGGAAAGGTTTCTTCAGGAGGGAATTTCAGCACTAAATATTACATCTATATCCTGCTTCATCCAGATTTTTCCTACCGTTTATAAACACCTTTGCTCTTCACAATATGAGAAGAACAAGGAGATCCCCAATGCTTGTCCAAATAAATGACTCTCTAGGAGCCCTGAAAGGAGTTGATAATAAGCAATACTGGGTGAGTTAAAATTAAGTCTTCTTTTCCTTTCTTTACACAGCCTTAAGATTATTCTGTGTTTTTTCACTAACATTGCTAGGAATACAAACGAAGCTTTAAGCTCTTCTGTCGTAGGAGTCTCTATCTGAGTGGTGGGGATGCCTCTGGGATTTATTAACACATCAGGATATTATGTTCTAATCATTTCTAGGGCTGCACCATGGAAGCCCACTGTGATCCATTTCTCTTACGCCTTTGTTCTTCCTGCTAGTAAGGCATCTTTATGGAGAAGTACTATGTTTTAATGGAAAGAGCAGTCTTCTTGGAAGTGACAATGATGTACAATGAGGTAACGGTATGTACTTTGTAGGGTTGTTGTGAGGATTAACATAACATACCCGAAAGGTCTTGGCACAAAGGCAGTACAAATACGTAATGTTAGTTTAATCCAAACTCCTAAGGCTGCTATTCTTTGATTTTTCATGGTGAGAAAAACTAATTTAAAGTGATCTGCATAAGTATCCAAGTATTTTCTTCATCCAGTAATACCTTATTTCCCTTGATTTTTTTTCACTGTTATATTCCAAACTTTTCAAATAAAATAATCATTCCTAATTCCTAGTTCACATATTCCCTCTCCTTTCTGAAAATAAACTCTGCTCTAATTGTCCTTATTTAGGCATCAGTGTAGAAATCCTCAAATTTGCCATGTACAATAAATAACATGGCTTATTGCAACTTCAGTCTTCAAAACAACAAAGCCATTGTAGACATAAGCACAGACATTTCTCTTCAGCATTCTTTTTCTCTAGTGTGTCACTATCTTTTTCTGTCTATATACAGAAGTCACTGTGGCTGTTCGTCTTCAGATTTGTTTGAGTCATAGCGACTTTCTCTCTGTACTACAGTCTTGCTGTAGAAACCATAGGCAACTATCCCTCAGTTCCAGATGACTGTTAGTAGCGGTGAGGGGGCAGACTGAAAATAAAGCTTTCATCCCCAGTAGAAATTCATGTCACAAGTATGAATCAATAGTAAATCAATCTGCATCGACCTAAGTACTCTCTAACCTCTGGGCCCTAAGTTTTTCCAGAGGACCCACCAGTAGCTCTAGTAGCCAATTTAAATCCTCCCTTGTTTTCATCTAAGAGACTGTGTAATCCCACCAGTGATTTAAAGTTGAATCACTAAGTCTCGATGAAGGTGGCAACTTTTAGATACATTAAGAATAATGTCTCAAAGACCTAAGGGTACCTTACTTATTAAACAGCAATTTTTCTTTAACTTTGAATTCATTTTTTCCTGATTATAGAAATAACACATATTCATTGTAGAAAATTTGGGACATTCAGAAAAGCCCAAAGGAGGAAATGAAAGTCACCCATAATTTCAGATATAACTATTGATATTTTGACTTTTTTTATGCATATACTACCTATAATAAAAACTTAGGCTGGGCGTGGTGGCTCATGCCTGTAATCCCAGCACTTTGGGAGGCCAAGGCGGGTGGATCACGAGGTCAGGAGATCGAGACCATCCTGGCCAACATGGTGAAACTGTCTCTACTAAATACAAAAAATTAGCCGAGTGTGGTGGCACATGCCTGTGATCCCAACTTCTTGGGAGGCTGAGGCAGGAGAATCGCTTGAACCTGGGAGGGAGAGGTTGCAGTGAGCCAAGATCGTACGACTGCACTCCAGCCTGGCGACAGAGTGAGACTCCATCTCAAAAAACAAAACAAAACAAAACAAAAAAACTTTAAAAGCAGACTGCATATTCTTTTTTATAACCTGCTGTTAAAATTAACATTATGTTGTATGTGTTTTCTCATTTTATTAAGCAATTTGAATAAATGTTATAATATTTTAAAAACGAAAATGGAGAGGGTAAAAACACATGTAACAAGTGGAAGTGAAACAGTTTTCTATTGCATTCTCAGACTATGAGAATTCTTTTATACTTTTATACTTTTCTTTGACTTTTTGAAGGTAAGACACTGTTGGAAGACTGGACTCAGAGATTCCATTTATTCTAATTCTCTATGAATAAAAGCCAATTCTCATTGTCAGAAATTCTCATAATGTCCTTCTTATAGAATGGAAAATGAGTGTGATGTACGTTTTTTTCTTAGTGGGATGAAGCAGACATAAGGGTGTAATAATCAAAGTTGTGGATGCACAACCTCAAGGGAATGGACACACTCCTGCCATGGCTTCTTAACCAGCTCCTCTAACTCCTTATCTTCTGTCTTCTTCTGGCCCCTGACCCTGCTGTGCCAACTCCAGATTCTAGTGTTTTAGTTCTATCCCACTTATGTTTTTCCAGCACTTGTGCAATTGTGTAGGCCTTAGTTAGGAGAACATTCACTTTCGTGAAAACATCAGCGCGTCTATAGTAAATATACTATGAAATAAGAGGATGGAACCTATAATTTGAAAAGAGTAACAATTGTGGTTGAATTATATGGAATATGTATCATTTCTGTTTCAGTTCTATTTACCTTTTCTTTTAATATTCAACTATGTGACAGACCTTTTGCTAAATTTTGATGCCAAATATGTTCACTCATTGTTGTGGGGATATACAACAATAAAAAATATAAAATAAAAATAAAATAAAATAAAAATAAAAATAAAAAATATACAACAAAAAATATAAGTTCTTGCCCTGTCATTTAGTGGGGAGTATATAAATAAGCAGAAGATAATCTAAAATGAAACTATTAGAAGGGTCAAAATAAAATAGATATGGGGATTTTAAAAGTTTCCTCCAAATGCAGTTTTTTTTAGAGTAAAAGGGAATGCAATTAATAATTATGCTGGAAAAGGGCAAACCATGACTATTCAAGACCAAGTAGGGCATGTGTTCAAAAGAAAAAGTCCTGGCTCAAAGGAAGAAGTTGTTACCTTATCTGATCATGGGACTCAGTGAACTCTTAGGGAAGTAGGCCTTGAGTAAGTTTTGCTGTTTAGCAAGGATTCCGTTTGATACAATTTAGAGAAAATGCAACCTTAATGTGTATTGTATGATGAAGTATTTATTATCTCACATAGTAAGAAGTCCATAGTTTGGTGGTTTCAAGGTTCAGAAAAGTCATCAAGGACACAAGGCTTTTGCTGTTTTTATTTTTCTCCTTTTTCCTGGCTATTATTGGTATGCTTGCAGCTCCGGAAATCAAATCCTTACACTTCAAGAGGCAGGAACATAGGTCATGTACCTGTTTATTGCTGTTTTTCAGGGCGAGAAACATTCCCAGAAGCCCCAGCTCATTCATTCTCATTCTCATTTTCCAGAACTAGGTCATATGCCTACCTCTAAAATATCAGTTATAAAGGAGATGATGTTACCATGTTAATCCAAAATGTCATGCTTCTCTGGTCCCACCATTCCTGAATATGATGCTGCCTGATAGTTAAAAAAAAAATCCAGGTTTTTCAAGGCAGAAAGGAGATTACTGTTGTACAGGCAATTCTGGAAAGTCTTTTTATTCCTCTGTTTTTTAATTGCATAACTAGTCTTGATCTACTTTTACTTATACTGATTTTTTTCTTATGCCATCTTTACTCTGTTGTTAAACTCTCCAATTTTTTAAAAATAGTAGATATTGCACTTTTTCTAGAATTTTCAGTTGGTCCTTTTTTATAGTTTGGTTTTTCTTTGTTAAGATTTCGTATTTGTTTATTCATATGAACATTTAAAAAGTTCTTGAGCATAGCTATAATATCCACTTGAAAATTCTGTGCTCATTGCATCATCTCTATTATCTCATGGTCAATCTTTGTCAATTTATTGCTTTTTGCTTGAGTATATGTATAATTTCTCTAAAGACCAGTGATGATGAGCTTTTTTTCATATGTTTCTTGGCCACATAAATGTCTTCTTTTGAGAAGTGTCTGTTCATATCCTTCACCCACTTTTTGATGGGGTTGTTTTCTTCTCATAAATTTGTTTAAGTTGTTTGTAGATTCTGGATATTAGCCCTTTGTCAGATGGATAGATAGCAAAAATTTTCTCCCATTCTGTAGGTTGCCTGTTCACTCTGATGATAGTTTCTTTTGCTGTGCAGAAGCTCTTTAGTTTAATTAGATCCCAGTTGTCAATTTTGGCCTTTGTTGCCATTGCTTTCGGTGTTTTAGTCATGAAGCCTTTGCCCATGTCTATGTCCTGAATCGTATTGCATAGGTTTTCTTCTAGAGTTTTTATGGTTTTAGGTCTTACATTTAAATCTTTAGTTCATCTTGAGTTAATTTTCGTATAAGGTTTAAGGAAGGGGTCTAGTTTCAGTTTTCTGCATATGGCTAGCCAGTTTTCCCAGCACCATTTATTAAATAGGGAATCCTTTCCTCATTGCTTGTTTTTGTCAGGTTTGTCAAAGATCAGATGGTTGTAGATGTGTGGTGTTATTTCTGAGGCCTCTCTTCTGTTCCATTGGTCTATATATCTGTTTTGGTACCAGTACCATGCTGTTTTGGTTACTGTAGTCTTGTAATATAGTTTGAAGTCAGGTAGCATGATGACTCTAGCTTTGTTCATTTTGCTTAGGATTCTCTTGGCTATATGGGCTCTTTTTCGGTTCCACATGAAATTTAAAGTAGTTTTTTCTAATTCTGTGAAGAAAGTCAAAGGTAGCTTGATGGGGATGGCATTGAATCTATAAATTACTTTGGGCAGTATGGCCATTTTCACAATATTGATTGTTTCTGTCTATGAGCATGGAATGTTTTTCCATTTGCTTCTGTCTTCTCTTATTTCCTTGAGCAGTGGTTTGTAGTTCTCCTTGAAGAGGTCTTTCACATCCCTTGTAAGTTGTATTCCTAGGTATTTTATTCTCTTTGTAGTAATTGTTAATGGGAGTTCACTCATGATTTGGCTCTCTGTTTGTCTATTTTTGGTGTATAAGAATGCTTGTGATTTTTGCACATTGATTTTGTAGCCTGAGATTTTGCTGAAGTTGCTTATCAGCTTAAGGAGATTTTGGGCTGGGACGAGGGGGTTTTCTAAATAGACAATCATGTCATCTGCAAACAGAGACAATTTGACTTCCTCTTTTCCTATTTGAATACCCTTTATTTCTTTCTCTTGGTTGATTGCCCGGGCCAGAATTTCCAATACTATGTTGAACAGGAGTGGTAAGAGAGGGCATCCTTGTCTTGTGCTGGTTTTCAAAGGGAATGCTTCTAGCTTTTGTTCATTCAGTATGATGTTGGCTGTGGGTTTCTAATAAAGGGCTCTTATTATTTTGAGGTACATTCCATCAATACAAAGTTTATTGAGAGTTTTTAACATGAGGAGATGCTGAATTTTATCCACGGCCTTTTCTGTATCTATCGAGATGATCGTGGTTTTTGTCATTCGTTCTGTTTATGTGATGGATTATGTTTATTGATTTGTGTATGTGGAACCAGCCTTGCATCCCAGGGATGAAGCCGATTTGATCATTGTGGATAAGCTTTTTGATGTGCTGCTGGATTCGGTTTGCCAGTATTTTATTGAGGATTTTTGCACCAATGTTCATCAGGGATATTGGCCTGAAAGTTTCTTTTTTTGTTGTGTCTCTGCCAAGTATTGGCATCAGGATGATGCTGGCCTCATAAAATGAGTTAGGGAGGAGTCTATCTGTTTCTGTTGTTTGAAATAGTTTCAGAAGGAATGATACCAGCTTCTCTTTTTACCTCTGGTAGAATTCGGCTGTGAATCCCTCTGGTCCTGGACTTTTTTTGGTTGGTAGGCTATTAATTACTCCCTCAATTTCAGAACTTATCAGTCTATTCAGGGATATGACTTCTTCCTGGTTTAGTCTTGGGAGGGTGTATGTGTCCAGGAATTTATCCATTTTTTCTAGATTTTCTAGTTTATTTGCGTAGAGGTGTTTATAGTATTCTCTGATGGTAGTTTGTATTTCTGTGGGATCGGTGGTGATATCCCCTTTATCATTTTTTATTATGTCTATTTGATTCTCCTCTCTTTTCTTCTTTATTAATCTGGCTAGTGGTCTATCTTTCTTGTTAATCTTTTCAGAAAAGCAGCTCTGGTCCCATTGATTTTTTTGAAGGGTTTTTCGTGTCTCTGTCTCCTTCAGTTCTGCTCTGATTTCTTGTCTTCTGCTAGCTTTTGAATTTGTTTGCTCTTGCTTCTTTAGTTCTTTTAATTGTGATGTTAGAGTGTTGATTTTTGGATCCTTCCTGCTTTCTCCTGTGGGCATTTAGTGCTATAAATTTCCCTCTAAACACTGCTTTAGATCTGTCCCAGAGATTCTGGTATGTTGTGTCTTTGTTCTCATTGGTTTCAAAGAACTTACTTATATCTGCCTTAATTTCGTTATTTGCCCAGTAGTCATTCAGGAGCAATTTGTTCAGTTTCCATGTAGTTGTGTGGTTTTGAGTGAGTTTCTTAATCCTGAGTTCTAATTTGATTGCACTGTGGTCTGAGAGACTGTTTGTTATGATTTCTGTTCTTTTGCATTTGCTGAGGAGTTATTTACTTCCAATTATGTGGTCAATTTTAGAATAAGTGCAATGTGGCACTGAGAAGAATATATATTCTGTTGATTTGGGGTGGAGAGTTCTATGGATGTCTATTAGGTTTGCTTGGTTCTGAGCTGAGTTCAAGTCCTGAATATCCTTGTTAATTTTTTGTCTCGTTGATCTGTCTAATACTGACAGTGGGGTGTTAAAGTCTCCCACTATTATTGTGTGGGAGTCTAAGTCTCTTTATAAGTCTCTAAGAACTTGCTTTATGAATCTGGGTACTCCTGTTTTGAGTGCATATATATTTAGGATAGTTACTCTTCTTGTTGCATTGATCCCTTTACCATTATGTAATGCATTTCTTTGTCTTTTTTGATATTTGTTAGTTTAAAGTCTGTTTTATGAGAGACTAGGACTGCAACCCCTGCTTTTTTTTTTTTTTTTTGCTTTCCATTTGCTTGGTAAATCTTCCTCCATCCCTTTATTTTGAACCTATTTGTGTCTTTGCATGTGAGATGGGTCTCCTGAATACAGCACACTGATGGGTCTTGACTCTTTATCCAATTTTGCCACTCTATGCCTTTTAATTGGGGGATTTAGCCCATTTACATTTAAGGTTAATATTGTTATGTGTGAATTTGATCCTGTCATTATGATCCTAGCTGGTTATTTTGCCCGTTAGTTGATGCAGCTTCTTCATGGTGTCGATGGTCTTTACAATTTGGTATGTTTTTGCAGTGGCTGATGCTGATTGTTCTTTCCATGTTTAGTGCTTCCTTCAGGAGCAATTGTAAGGCAGGTCTGGTGGTGACAAAATCTCTTAGCATTTGGTTGTCTGTAAAGGATTTTATTTCTCCTTCGCTTATGAAGCTTAGTTTGGCTGGATATGAAATTCTGGGTTGAAAATTATTTTCTTTAAGAATGTTGAATATTGTCTCCCACTGTCTTCAGGCTTGTAGGATTTCTGCAGAGATATCCGCTGTTAGTCTGATGGGCTTCCCTTTGTGGGTAACCCAACCTTTCCCTCTGGCTTCCCTTAACATTTTTTCCTTCATTTCAACCTTGGTGAATCTGATGATTATGCATCTTGGGGTTGCTGTTCTCAAGAAATATCTTTGTGGTGTTCTTTGTATTTCCTGAATTTGAATGTTGGCCTGTCTTGCTGGGTTGGGGAAGTTCTCCTGGATGATATCGTGAAGGGTGTTTTCCAATTTGGTTCCATTCTCCCCATCACTTTCAGGTACACCAATCAAACACAGGTTTGGTCTTTTCACATAGTCCCATGTATCTTGGAGGCTTTGTTCATTCCTTTTCACTCTTTTTTCTCTAATGTTGTCTTCATGCTTTATTTTATCAAGTTGATCTTCAATCTCTGATATCCTTTCTTCTGCTTGATTGATTTGGCCATTGATACTTGTGTATGCTTCACGAAGTTCTCGTGCTGTGTTTTTCAGCTCTGTCATTTATATTCTCATCTAAACTGATTATTCTAGTTAGCAATTCCTCTAACTTTTTTCAAGGTTCTTAGCTTCCTTGCATTGGGTTAGAACTTGCTCCTTTAGCTCAGAGGAGTTTGTTATTACCCACCTTCTGAAGCTTACTTCTGTCAATTCATCAAACTCATTCTCTGTCTAGTTTTGTTCCCTTGCTTGTGAGGAGTTGTGATCCTTTGGAGGAGAAGAGGCCTTCTGGTTTTTGGAATTTTCAGCCTTTTTGGGTTGGTTTTTCTTCATCTTTGTGGATTTATCTACTTTTGGTCTTTGATGTTGGTGACCTTCAGATGGGGTTTCTGTGTAGATGTCCTTTTTGCTGATGTTGATGCTATTCCTTTGTTTGTTAGTTTTCCTTCTAACAGTGAGGCTCCTCTGCTCCAGGTCTGCTGGAGTTTGCTGGAGGTCCACTCCAGATTCTGTTTGCCTGGTTATCACCAGTGGAGGCTGCAGAACAGCAAAGATTGCTGCCTGTTCCTTCCTCTGGAAGCTTCTTCCCAGAGGGGCACCTGCCAGATGCCAGCCAGAGCTCTCCTGTATGAGGTGTCTGTTGACCCCTGCTAGGAGATGTCTCCCAGTCAGGAGGCACAGGGGTCAGGGACCCACTTGAGGAGGCAGTCTGTCCCTTAGCAGAGCTCGAGTACTGTGCGGGGAGATCCACTCTTCTCTTCAGAGCCCACAGGCAGGAACATTTAAGTCTGCTGAAGCTGTGCCCACAGCTGCCCCTTCCCCCAGGTGCTCTGTCCCAGGGAGACAGAAGTTTTATCTATAAGCACCTGACTGGGTCTGCTGCCTTTCTTTCAGAGATGCCCTACCCAGAGAGGTGGAATCTAGAGAGGCAATCTGGCTACAGTGGCTTTGCCGAGCTGCAGTGGGCTCCACCCAGTTTGAATTGCTGGTGGCTTTGTTTACACTGTGAAGGGAAAACCACCTACTCAAGCCTCAGTAATGGCGGATGCCTCACCCCCAGCCAAGCTTGAGCGTCCCAGGTCGACTTGAGACTGCTGTACTGGCAGCAAACATTTCAAGCCAGCGGATCTTAGCTTACTGGGCTCCATGGGGGTGGAATCCAGTGAGCTAGACTACTTGGCTCCCTGGCTTTAGACCCCTTTCTAGGAGAGTGAACGGTTCTGTCATGCTGGCGTTTCAGGCACCACTGGGTTATGAAAAAAAACTCCTGCAGCTAGCTCGGTGTCTGCCCAAATGGCTGCCCAGTTTTGTGCTTGAAACTCAGGCCCTTAGTTGGCGTAGGCACCCAAGGGAATCTCCTGGTCTGTGGCTTGTGAAGACCATGGGAAAAGCATATTATCTGGGCTGGAGGGCACTGTTGCTTAGGGCACAGTCCCTCATAGGTTCTCTTGGCTAGGGGAGGGAATTCCCTGACCCCTGGGTGAGGTGACGCCCTACCCTGCTTTGGCTAGCCCTCTGTAGCCTGCACCCACTGTCTAACCAGTCACAGTGAGATGAGCTGGGTACCTCAGTTGGAAATGCAGAAATCACCCGCCTTCTGCGTTGATCTTGCTGGGAGCTGCAGACCGGAGCTGTTCCTATTTGGCCATCTTGCCAGCCACCACCTATTTATTTATTTATTTATTTTTTGAGACAGAGTTTCACTCTTGTCACCCAGGCTGGAGTGCAATGGTGTGATCTCAGCTCACTGCAACCTCTGCCTCCCAGGTTCAAGTGATTCTCCTGCCTCAGCCTCCCAAGTAGCTGGGATTATAGGCACATACCACCACACCTGGCTAATTTTTGTATTTTTATTAGAGACAGGGTTTCACCATGTTGGCCAGGCTGGTCTCCAAACCCTGGCCTCAGGTGATCCTCCCACCTCGGCCTCCGAAAATGCTGGGATTACAGGCTTGAGTCACTGTGCCTGGCCATATACTATTATTTCTGTATAAAATGAAGATACTGATTATTTTGAGGATTAAATAAAATAATGTGTGAAAGCATCCAAATAGAAATAAGAACAATGAAGATCAGACTCCTCTTAATGATGAATAATCCCATTAAGTTTTAATATCATGTAATATGCGTAGTATTTATTTTGTCAAATAGTTTAAAATAAAGAATAGAAGTGTCATCCATTAGAATAGGGACCCAAAGCCAAAGGAAACTTATTTTTAAATTGCTCAAGAAAGATAACTGAAATCCTACAATTCTATACCAGACTAGACCATCTTTCAAGAGAGAAAGGCAAATAAAGATACTTTTAGACCAAGAGATTTTTACCATACACAGAATGCCCCCCCAAAGAAACTGTACCCAGATGAAAGTCATGGCATGAAAAAAAATCATAGTATGCACAGAAATTGGCAAATATATGGGTCAATCCAAGTGGTCACTAATTTTACTTAAAAAGATAGCAATAAACTGGGGGACAATACAAGGTGAAAATGTAAACATCAGTAACATGGAAGGCTATGTGGCAGTTAGAAATCAGATATAAACATCTTAAAGTTCTATAATATTCAGGAGGATTGCAGAGATATTAACTAGAGAATTTGGTAAGTTAAACAACTATCATAAAAATTTAAGGGAAATACAACAACAATAGAAATAGGATATAATAATCCTAAAGCAGTCAAGGGAATAAAAGGAAGCAAATAAAATCTCATCAATTCAATAGAAGGCAGGAAACTTGTCAAAAAAATTAAAAAGCATAGTATGTTAAAAACAAACACCAAATGAGTATGAATAATCAAACATAAATATTCACATTAAATGTAAATACTTAAACACACTGGTTAAAACATATTAATTATTGTGCTGCAGCTATACCAAGGCAACCACATTTCTGATATTTTAATACCACTGATTATTTTTACCTATTTCAGAACTTGAGTATGTACTCTATTTTGAAGGCTTCTTCCATCTAGCATTGTTTTTGAAATCCATTCACATTGTTGCATGTATCAGTAATTTATTCCTTTTTTTTCACCATACTGAGTAGTATTTTGTTGTATGATTAGACCATAGTTTGTCAACCCATTTGCTTATTGATTGGCACTTGGGTTATCTCCAGTGATTGGCTATTATGAAAAGACTGCAATGGACATTCTTGTATAAGTCTCTTTCTGAAGACATTTTCATTTCTATTGGGTACATACATAGGAGCATAATTGATGAATTATAGGTATATGGTATATGCTTCGTTTTATAAGAAATTGTTAGCCCCTTTCCCAACGTGGTTGTACCATTTACATTCTTACTGGGAATGTAGAGACTTACTTCCCATTCTTTTGAATATTTGGTGCTATCAATCTTTTTAATTTTCAGCATTCTGGATGATGTGAAACTCTTGTGGTTTACTTTGCACTTCCATAGCGACTACTGATGTTGAACATTCATGTGTTCATGAGCTTATTGGTTATTTGTGTATCTCCTTTGGTGAAGTGCCTGTTTAAATCTTTTACTAATCTGGTTCTATTCCAAACTTGTCTCAGTTGATTCTGTTATATTTTAGATTAGGACTCATTTTTCTGGTTTTTTTTTTTGGACATAGAGTTATTTGGGATTGTATCTGGACATGGTGGATGTAATGTTGTGAAGACTGTAGCATCTGTTACTTAAACATGTTGATGTTTTTGTTTTAACAGGTAATCAAGTTGATTTTACTCAAATGAGACGTTCTGTCTTGAATCTTATTTCAGCTCTTTATTGTGGCTGGGCTTATTAAGTCTTCCCCATGCATGCAGGGCTTGGGGCAACCAGAATTAGGGCAGAGTGTATGTTGCCCAGTTCATGGCTTTTTCTCTCTAGCTTTCTCTTTTTCAGGTTTCCCTGCCATTTTAAAGTGGTTACACTTGTCACTGCAATTTTCTATCAGAGTTTTATCTTATGCAGCATTGACTGCCCTTGGGCTAAAAGCCGTAAATGTGAACAACTCTGCAGGGTGAGATGTTAGAGCCCTGGCAGTGGAAAGTGGTTGGTTCACAGGTGGTAAGAAGAATTTACTGACAACAGTATAGGTTTGAAAAGGCAAGTGTCATTAGAAGGAGAAAACTCTGCAGAAGAGTGCGACTCTTCTGGGTGCGTCTGAGTGCGACTCAGCAAGAGAGGACTGAGCACACTGTAGTGGATTTTTCTTTAGAGGTATGTATGGACCTTAAAGCAGGAGTTTAAGGACAATTTGGACCTTATTAGTCCTGTAGGTCATGATAAATGATTATATTTGTAGGCATTTTTGTGCCTTGATGTCAGCAAAGTTTGCACAATGAGTTTCGCCATGCATGCATTCCTGAGATGTATAGAAATTCTAGTTATTTATTAATTTGGGGGAAAGAAGCCTGGTACCAGATGCCTGCTTTAGATAATAGGGAAGTCTAATTACTTCTAAATTCTTCAGATAAGGAGTTTTGCCTCTGGATGGTTTGCTTGATAGCCACCAGATGATCTTTGCTCTTCTCCAACTCAAGCCACCAGATGATCTTTGCTCTTCTCCAACTCAACTCATAATTTTCCTTTTTCTGAGTTTCAAATCCATCCTGAATCTGTCTGCTTTTTACATTGACTAATGTTTGTTTTATGTACTTTGTCCATATCCATATCCATTATACTGTTATATGCATTAGAGTTAGGAGCTTACACGGCCATACTGGAAGTGATCATCCTAAATTTCTTTGGAAAACCATTTATGGCATGCCAAGAAAAATTTCATGTATCAGAAACACTTATGAAGTCCAGTTTAATAAAGATCTACAGGTAATATAAAAGAAGCTTACCCTCCTCCCTATGTCATTTTTTTAATACTGTAAATTTAGATTTTTATGCTTTTTAAACAGTAAGGCACACAAGTGATGCCATTCAGGTAGATTGTTAGATGGAGAAGGAGGATCCTCTTCCCATGACTGAGTTCCATACAACAGCCTCTAGAAATAAGTGATGAGAGGTATTAATAAAGCTAGCATTACTTTCTCTCTCAAGTTAGGATTTTACAAGGGTGCCCATTATTCTTAGCCTCAGTTTTAAAATAATACGATATACATTATTTTAAAAGTATTTTATGTAGTATTTATCATGTATTATTTAAAGTATTTTTATGCATTATGGGAATTACCTATGCTTCCATAAAAACTCTAGTTGAAAGAATCTAGTTTATGGGGAAAATAAAACTAGAGATAATACTATTCACTCTGAACATGACAACCTAAAATTACTACAGTTTTTTTTTTTTTTTGAGACGGAGTCTTGCTCTGTCACCCAGGCTGGAGTGCAATGGCACGATCTCGGCTCACTGCAACCTCCGCCTCCTGGGTTCAAGCGATTCTCCCGTCTCAGCCTCCGAAGTTTCTGGGATTACAGGCACGTGCCACCATGCCCCGCTAATTTTTGTATTTTTAGTAGAGACGGGGTTTCACCATGTTGGCCAAGCTGGTCTCAAACTCCTGACCTCGTGATCCGCCCATCTCAGCCTCCCAAAGTGCTGGGATTACAGGCATGAGCCATTGCACCCGGCCTCAGTTGTCTTTTTTTACAAGTATATTCTTTTTCAAATTTCTTCTAAAATGATCAGTCTGAAAAAAGTTTTTATTCTTGACAATAGTATATGCGTTTTCCCTTATAAAAGTAGCCCTCCTTATTGATACATTTAAAAATTTTCACTTAAATGTCTTCGTCTCTGGTACTGTTGATTTGTTTTTTAAGGTGTGAGTATATTTCTCCCAATTAAGAATTATTTATAGTTTTGAGACATTTGAGCTTTTTCTTTTCTTTCCTTCCTTTCTCTCTCTTTCTTTCTTTTCTTCCCCCCTTCCCTTCCCTCCCCTTCCCTCCCCTCCCCTCCCCTCCCCTCCCCTCCCCTCCCCTCCCCTCCCCTCCCCTTTCCTTTCCTTTCTTTCCTTCCTTCTTTCTTTCAACTCTGCTTTGTCGCCCAGGCTGGATTGCGGTGGCACGATCTTGGCTCACTGCAACCTCCGCCTCCCAGGTTCAAGCGATTCTCCTGCCTCAGCCTCCTGAGTAGCTGGGACTACAGGCTTGTGTCAACACGCCCGGCTAATTTTTTGTATTTTTAGTAGACACGGGGTTTCACCGTGTTAGCCAGGATGGTCTCAATTTCCTGACCTCGTGGTCTGCCCGCCTCGGCCTCCCAAAGTACTGGGATTACAGGTATGAGCCACTGCGCCTGGCCCAAAATTTGTGTTATGTCGAGTTTAACCTTTTTAACATTATGTGTAAGAGATATTTGGAATCAAAAATCAAATATTCTTTCAAGGATGTTACATTTGTAAATGTTTTTAGAGTCTGGTAATACTATCTTCTACTTTTTCAAGCAGTTACTACATTAATAATTGGTATTTCACTGAATTATTTCCATCAGAGGGTATGCCAAATGGAGTTTCCCAAGAAGTAGTATGTTAGTGTAAAATAGGAAACTTACTGCCTGGACCTTAATCAAGAAGGGACTCTGTACAGCAGTAGAATTATATTACTATCCTCTCTTCAACCAACAGCACAATAGAAAACATTGACTATGATAGAGTCTGCAAAAAAGATAACAAGCACTTAGATAAATTTTGAGACAGAAATTTATTCTGACGTTTTAAAAAGAGAAGGGAAAAATGAAACAAAAGTACTTCCATAGCAATGGACAACATGTATGCAGTAATTTGCAGTACACTCTGAAACAAACCTTCACAAAAATCAATTAATAAAGCATATATTAAAATTGTCTTTGTATTTTCAAATGCAATGACAAATGACTTTCTCCAGACAAATCAAATTCCTGCAAGATGTAGTGACTGATTTCAGCACAGACATTATGGAATGAGAAGCTCATGTCAACATATAAGAGAATCAACAGAACCTGGATTGAAAAGTGTGTGGAAAGAAGATAGTACTGGGAATGTATAGAATATAGTCCTTTAACTACTGGTCTTAGGGTTCCTGCTAGTTATTTAGTCAGAAGGAAGCATACATTTATGTATGAATATACTCCAAAGTAAGTTCATAATATTGCTTTACAGAATGCTTTTTCACATCCAATGCCTATGTATTAGCTATTATTTGCCTCTCATTGATCTACACACTGGGAAAAGATAGCAATAGATAAGGAGAAGTACCTGCTTACAAGGAACTTTTCCTGTAGAAAATAGACAATAAATCCATAGAAAAGATAAATACATACAGCATTTTAAAGGAGTGAAATGCTGTGGAAAAAAAAACATGTTACAACTTTTATAAGACGAATATATTAGACATTTATGCAAAAACTTATTTGAAATGACAGAGGGAACCCTTGGAAGATCGAGGGGAGGAGTGTCCCAGATAGAAGGAATAATAAAGGCAAAGGCTTTGGCATATTTGAGAAACAAGAAGGTAGTGAAATGAGAGTGTAATGAGAGTCTAATGAATATCGTTAGGTGGTAGGAAATGAAGTGGTAAAACTAGGTGGGGTTAAGATTATATGGGTCTGGTATACCATGGTAAGGAATTTAAAACATTTTAAAATCTCTCTCTCACTTTTTTGAGATGGGATCTCATTATGTTGCCCAGGCTGGTTTCGAACTCCTGGGCTCAAGCAGTCTTCCCACTTCAGCCTCCAAAGCAGCTTGGATTACAGGCATGCACCACCATACCAGGCTTTAAAAATTTTTATCCTGTAGATTAATAGATTAGTTATTTTTGTTTTTGTCAAATTCTGAGTTCCATATAATCTAGGAATTATATCTCTGTATAACTGAATTAAGTGAGCCCTGTCTAATCTATTACAGTTATGATTCTGGTCCCCAGAGTGGACAAAATCAGATATGCAACACCCTTAAGGGAATTCTGCCTTAATTTGGCTTATTACTACTTATATGTATTTATATATAACACAGTAATCTACCATAATCCACCAAATGACAATGTTTATTAAACTAAAAAACATTATGTAGAAAAGCAAAATGCAGTTATTTCAAGTACCAATATATTGATTGAAGCACAGAGAAAAATGGTAAGAAGTCCATAAATCAATTTGATGAAAAATATGAGAACAAAAAATTAGAAACGTAAATGCTCCATAGAAATAATTGGGGAGATGACTGAAATGCCTGAAGTAATGCAGAATAGAGGTTAGATTATTGTAATTTAGTTATTAATGAGAAAGGGAACTCCTACAGGCTGGAGAACTTGGAACCTCTCAGATTACATACCTTGTTATTATTATTATTGCCTTAAAATGTAAGAGGATGGAGAGGAAGATAGGACAAAGGAATATATTAGGATTTATTTTGTCGTATGTGGTAAAATCCAGGTCAAATTAGTTTTTCATAAAATGCTAATTTGACTCATAAATAAAATCTGCAACGGTGAATCTGGCTTTAGCTACAGCTGCGTTCAAGAGTTAAAGTGACACCATCAAGCACACTCTGTATCTCAGCTCTGCTTTCATTCTCATGCTGTCCTCACATATTGGCAATGGTTGCCAGTAGGAATTCTGAGTTAACATTCTACCAGTTTAGACACCATTTCAAAAAACAGTGTGTCTTTCTGACAAAGGCAGCATTCCTGGGATGGAGTCTAATTAGTATGGCTCGGGTCACATCCTGCACTATACCAATCACTATGACTAGAGGAATTAGACATCCTTTCTTTCTTTCTTTCTTTCTTTCTTTCTTTCTTTCTTTCTTTCTTTCTTTCTTTCTTTTTTTTTTTTTTTTTTGCCAAGACCTCTTCCATGCTTATCTTTATTTTCAGAGGTTTGGGTCAGCCCCACCATGTACAACATAGACTGAGAGTGGGGGACTTTGGTTCATTAAAAGAAAAATATACATCTTTCTATTAATATATATTATGCAGATCTGTCAATTGGGTGGCAATATTGTGCAGGGATGCTGCACAACAACTATATATCCACTTCAAAGTGACTGAGAAAGGAGACAACAGAAAAGAAAGGAAGAGAAAGAAAATATACGGAGGAGAGGAGAGAGAGTAGCAGAATAGAGAGAGAGGACAAAATCAGAGGAGTAGAGAGAGACACACACATGGCAGGAGAGAGAAGAAAGAGAGACAGACAGAGAGAGAGACTGAGTGAGAGAGAGAGATTCATTTTAATGGACAGCATCAATATTTTTATAGGGCCAGTTTGCAGAACTGCTTACAGCTACAAACCCAGCAGACAAGGCACTATTAAGAAGGTTACATGAGCATGAAAATTCTACGTTGAAAAGAATGGGAATCTAATAGTTGGTTTTGCAAACACACAAGCTCTCGTGACAGTAGGTTTTGCAGTATCTAAATACAAAAGACAAGCTCTCTTGCCCCATTGAGGATATCGCATGCCCAAGGTTTTTCACATTTTCAATAAATGCAGATGTCTGCTCAGGACTTTCTTTACAGCCTCTTTGACCTCTTTATTCCTGAGGCTATAGATGATGGGATTTAACATTGGGCTTACCACTCCATAAGACAGCCCAATAATCTCATCAGATGTATTAGTGTTCTTTGACTTGGGTTTCATGTACATAAAAAGGGCTGAACCGTAGAATAAGATGACCACAATCGAGTGCGCTGAACAGGTAGAGAAGGCTTTCTTTCTTCCCTCAGCACAATTAATTCTCAGGATGGAAGAGAGAATAAACACATAGGAGATGAAAATTAACAGTAGAAGAATCACCAGTGAAACAATATTTGTCACTGTCATGATAAGCACATTGATGGTGATATCTGAACAAACAAGTTTTAGAAGGGCCAAAATTTCACAGGTAATATGATCAATGACATTATTCCCACAGAAAGGCAACATCATTGTCAGAACTGTTTGCAATAGGGAGGTCAGACAGCCTATGATCCAGGACCATGCAGCCATTTGCACATACAGCACTCCGTTCATGATGATGGAGTACCTCAGTGGGTTGCAGATGGCCACATAGTGGTCATAGGCCATCACAGCCAGGAGGACACACTCAGTGGAGCCCAAGCCAAGGGACACAACCATCTGCAGAGCACAGCCAATGAAGGAGATGGATTTTCTCTCAGACATAAATATAATAAGCATTGGAGGAATGGATGAGGATGTGTAACAGATGTCCAAGAATGAGAGGTTTCCAAGAAAGAAATACATGGGAGTATGGAGGCGAGAATCCAAGATGGTGATGATAATGAGGAGGCTATTTCCCAGGAGGATTATCATGTACATGATGAGGCAGAGCAGGAACAGAAAAAGCTGGAGCTCTGGATATTGGGAAAGCCCCACCAGAAAGAATTCAGTCATGGCAGAGTAATTTCTTGTCTCCATGTGTTCTAGGTCACCTGCCTGCTGGGTAGTATAGAAAAGGACATGATTCAGGTAAATTGAAATGTTTGATACATCAAAATCTGTAAATCTGTACATCTACAAATTTTCAATACAAATTTGCTTCCGATATTGTGTTTGATTCTTAGAATACTCTCAGTAAGCAAAACAGTATGGATATTGTACTAGTTTTATTGATTATGAAAATTGAGACATTGAGAAACCCAATATATCTTAGGACTACACAGCAGCACATTCAAAGCTACCAATACTGCCAGAATTATTCTGGGAAGTGTCAAATAAAGTTTAGGAACATGCTGCTTTCAAATGTAGAAAGAGATTTTGAACTTAAAGCTGTTTTTTTGATGAAGCTGGCCTCTATTTAAAAGATTTTATAGACTGCCAGTGACATATCATTTAACCTGGATGTAGCTTTGGTAAGTTGTTTATTTTTCTGAGTTGCAGATAGTTCATAGTAAGCTTGGAAAAAGCAATAATTATTTCTTAGAGTATAGTTAGAATTAGATAAAATATTAGGTGCCTAGAACCTAATGGTTCCAACATGGCATATGTGTGTGTGTGTGTGTGTATGCATATATGTAATATAATTATATTTACCTTATACAAGATATAATATTAAATGTATTTTTATACACATGCATTTTATGAATTATAGTATAATATTTAGATCTACCAATCTTAAAAGGGAAAAGTAGATTTAGCTTTTTAAAGGTAAAAGGTTTAAAGTTTGAAACCACACTTGACAGACTGTGAACATTTTTGTTCTCAGTGGGATATTTCATTGCACTTCTTTCAAAAACCTGTTAGGAGTCTGAGAATCATTGGAGGACTGTTCTAGAAGCTTCCAGAGATTAAGGAGTCTAGGTCCCAGCATGTACAGCTTTTTTTCCAGGCCCTGGGATTCTCTCTTCTTAAGTGTAGTATTACTGCCATTTTACAAAGTAGGAAACAGAGACAAAGAAAAGTTTAAGTAACTTTCTCAAGGTCATACAGATAGTAAATACTAAAGCCAGAATTCAATATCTAGCCATCTGGCTATAGAATCAGCCCTTTTACCCACCATACACTACTCTCTCTCAGTGGTTACTACACAGATTCCACGCAAGAGAAGACTATTACAAAAATGTATCTTCTGTTGGGGTACAGTGAGACAGCAAACATCATTTACTTGTGATTCTGATCATATGTGATGTGATGGAGAACTCTGAAGGCTGGACCACTTACTTTTTCCTGTAGCTTTTGATTGTGGTCTGCTCAGTTTTCTTTTCTTTTCTCTCGCTGTTTTTTTTTTTTTTTTTTTTTTTTAAGACGGAATCTTGCTCTGTTGCTTGGGCTGGAGTGCAATGGCGCGATCTCAGCTCACTGCAACCTCCACCTCCCACATTCAAGCGATTCTCCTGCCTCAGCCTCCCGAGTAGCTGAGATTACTGGCATGCTCCACTACACCTGGCTAATTTTTGTATTTTTAGTAGAGACGGGGTTCATATCATATTGGCCAGGCTGGTGTCGAACTCCTGGCCTCAAGTGATCCTCCCACCTTGGCCTCCCAAACTGCTAGGATTACAGGCATGAGCCACCCTGCCTGGTCTGCTCAGTTTTCTATGTGTAGAAGGCGATTTCACAGCTATGAAAAAAAGCATGATCAAGAATAATGATACAAAAGTCCTTTTCATCACCTTTGCCTTTTTCTTTTCTTTCTTTGTTTTTCTTTTGAGACAGAGTCTCACTCTGTTGCCCAGGTTGGAGTGCAGTGGTGTAATCTCAGCTCACTGCAACCTCCGCCTCCCAGGTGCAAGTGGTTCTCCTGCTTCAGCCTCCCAAGTAGTTGGGATTACAGGCGCATACCACCACACCCAGCTAATTTTTGTATTTTTAGTAGAGATGGGATTTCACCATGTTGGCCAGGCTGGTCTTGAATCCCTGACCTCAGGTGATCCACCCTCCTCAGCCTCCCAAAGTGCTGGGATTACAGGTGTGAGCCACCATGCCCAGCCCACCTTTGCCTTTATCAGTAACATATCAAAAATACCACAGCCCCTGCCCTCACTCTGCAAATCTAAATGCAGCATAGAGTCTTTTGAGAAACTACTCCCATTTATAACATTAGTGCCACATCTTTGAAAACTCAATGTGCTCCATTCGTTTCATATTCATTACATTGATATGTCCAAGTATTGTGTTAAGATGTCTTATATAAAGGGCTGTTTCTCATACATTGTTACACTATTACCACAAGAACTATATCTATGCTGGGCTCTCCTTGTGGAATGAGAATATTTCTTACTGATCTTATTCTGACCCTACAACCACACTTTTGCTTTGGCCTTTTCATATCCAGAGACTTTGAAGACAGGATGAATGCTTACTCTCTGGGTAGTCATAGATGGCAAGCCCTCCTAGCTCCCTGTTGCATAATGATGAAAAATGTAGTATTATGGGGAGACTAGAAGAAACTCAGCATGGTCTTTGCAGACCATTTGGGGCATCAGTAGTGGCTCCAGGGAGTAGTGGAGTACTGGCTCCAGGGAGATGAAGGGAAAAAGTTTCTCCATTCCCTTTCCATATCCTTTGTCTTCCTCTTAGAGAGTACTACCTACACCATGATTTGGGAGGAGATTAAAAAAAATTAGATGATACCAATGTGTTGGTATGTTGGAAAATATTCCCTTTGTCTTGCACTTCTTTTTCCTGTCTCTATCTACATTGGCATATGGATTTGTTCCCACAAAGTGGGCAGTTACGGTAGCCGTTTTAATTAGATAGAGCATAGCTGTTTTGAAGTAGAGGAAAGTGGAAGGAAAGAAGAGGTGGAGAAGAAACAAATTTGTGCTAGCATAGAAAGAACACTAAACTTACCACTTGTATCTTGGGCGATGGTGTTGTGCTAAACCCCTATTAATCTCAATAGGGGCGGCACCAGGTGCAAAAGGCCAAGAGACCCAGAGTCAGCAAATGAGACATGGGGTTTATTAGGGAATTACATACAGGGAGAGAGTCCAGGGGTGGTGGGCTGGACAGAAAAACCACAACTACCTGTAAAATCATGCAGTTTTATATGGCATTTTCACTTAATCCTCTCCTTAACAACCTCCACCTGGCAACCTTCATCCAACCAAAAGCTTAGGGACCCAATTCCCTGCACGGCCCATGTTTGGGACAGGCTGTTTATCACAGAGAAAGAACAAATCTCTGGGTTGGCTACTCCTAGATTCCCTAGATCAGAACACACATTCGGGTGCCTCTGTCATTACAGTGTCATTCTAAGGGTATGCTTTATGTGTTTACCCTATAGGTGGGGATGTCGAGGATACAAAGATGAAGGAAGAAGAATGGCTGTCTTTCTTTCTATTCAGAAAAGATCCCAGGTGAAGAAGTCCATGTTTCAGAATTTATTTTAAATTTTAATTTATTCTTTTCAGCTTATATGTGTTAGTGAAATATTTCAGGATTTAGATCAAAACAAGAGAAAGGGAAACGGTAACTTCGCCAAAGACACTGAATCAACCCATTACACAGGCCTATCCTAACCTATTAGGTATCTTTCTCCAATTCATACCATGTCTCCTCCCATGACTGTGTTAAGGAGGAATTATTAGGAGGACTTTGTTTCCCCATGATCGCCATCAGTCTCCTCACAAAAGACATCCTAATAGAGAAATACAACTTAAAGGAAAATATGTGCTTGCTCTGCAGCTTCAACGAAAGTCCTCTAGTTCATCCTCTAATCACATTGTCAACTCTGGTTCTCTCTAACTCTGGAGCCACTACTGATGTCCCAAATGCTCTGCACTGACCATGATGAGTTTTGCTCAGTCTCCCCATAATACTGCATTTTCTTTCTTTTTTTTTTTTTTTGTTCTTTTTTTTTTTGAGACAGAGTCTCACTTTGTCACCCAGGCTGGAGTGCAATGGTGTGATCTTGGCCCACTGCAACCTCTGCCTCCTGGGTTCAAGTGATTTTCCTGCCTCAGCCTCCCGAGTAGCTGAGATTATAGCCTCCTGCCTCCACACCCAGCTAATTTTTGTATTTTTAGTAGAGTTGGGGTTTCACCATGTTGGTCAGGCTGGTCTCGAACTCCTGACCTCAGGTGATCCGCCCGCCTCGGCCTCCCAAAGTGCTGGGATTACAGGCATTGAGCCACTGCGCCCAGCTTGCATTTTCATCATTATGCATTTGTGTGTGGCGTCTTCTTAAACTGGAAGGATTGTTCTTATCTATTACCTTTTCTAGGAAAGCTTTCTCACCTACTATTGTGAGGAGGATGCCCTTTTTATATACTGTCATAAAACTGTGCATATCTGTCTTACAGAATTCTACATTTATTCAACAGAAACTATGCCATGTATACTATGGTAGGTAATAGAGATCCTATTGTGAGATCTTGACTTTCAAAATCAAGACTGGATTTTGCACTGGATGCAGAATGCTTACAATAGTTATTTCACACTTTCAAGAAAAAATTTCTGTGCTGTATAATATGTTTCAATGTGAAAAAGTTATAGAACATTTTGTAGAAACATTTTATCAAGCAAAAATAGCCTTGTTTTCCCAAACTTTCAAAGATAGACGAAAACTGTAGATAATCTTATTTATGAATGTATATGGTATAACCATAATTAAAGTACATCCAAACTGTATATACTAAAGTGATACAATTTATTTCATGGATTAATAAAATTCCAAATTAATATTTGAAAATCTATCAACATACTAAACAAATAAGCAAAAAACCCAACACATGGTCTTCTAACAAGACGCTAAAGTGCATTTGGTAAAATACAACATTCACTCTTGGTCAGACCTCTGAGTAATCTAGATACAGGAAGATCGAGAATTAAGATGATAAAGGAGATTATTACTCTCAAATCATTGGGCAGCATAATTCAAAATGGTGAAACTGTAGCAGTGTTTTTTCTTAAAGTTTGCAAAGATAGTGTTAGCACTATTATCAACAATTTTTCACTAGAATGAGCCAACCAAATGGAATAGCATATCCATGGGTTGGATCCATATGTCCTATTATGTTTCAAGTTTAATCATGGTTTAAAAGGTTGCTATGCTTTTTTTTTTTTTTTTTTTTTACCTCCAGGTGCTGGAATTCTGGTTTGTGGGGTTGGTAGGTTATAATATACACATAAGAATACATCCTCTCATATGTTAAACAACTATGAAAGTTGTAATCTTGGAGAATAGTAAATGAAAAGGAAAATCCCCATGATATAATACTGTGTTAAAAAGAATGTCTCGGCCGGGCGCGGTGGCTCACGCCTGTAATCCCAGCACTTTGGGAGGTTGAGGCAGGCGGATCACAAGGTCAGGAGTTCGAGACCAGCCTGGCCAATATGGTGAAACCCCATCTCTACTAAAAATACAAAAATTAGCCAGGCATAGTGGCACGTGCCTGTAGTCCCAGCTACTTGGGAGGGTGAAGCAGAAGAATCGCTTGAACCCGGAAGGTGGTGGTTGCAGTGAGCCAAGATCTTGCCACTGCACTATAGCCTGGGCGACAGAGCGAGACTCCATCTCAAAAAAAAAAAAAAAAGAAGACTGTCTCATAAGCATATAAATGATCACAGTTTTGTATATATGTGACTGAAAGAAGTTACATTGAAATCTTAACCAGTTTTTTTTTTTTTTCTGGAATGTGGTTCTTGGAGGGATTATTACTGTTCTTCATTTTGCCTCATTTTCTAACTTTTTGAAAAGAATGTATATTTTCTGATTATAAAAATACATAATATTTTAAATTCTCCTTTGAAGGAAACAGTGGTGAGAGTTTGAAGAATTTTGGTCCAATTTTCACTAATACCCAAGATCAAGTGAGAATAGTTATTGGAAAGAAAATTGGAGAAAGGCTTTCTGTTGATTTATGACATAAACTGACTTAATGCCATTGAATATTCTGACTTCAAGAGATCAACTTGACAAATATATTCACTCTGAGAAGACACACTAACACAGTCCCAGTTCTTAGATTAGGATTCTAGAGCTCACCACTTAGAATGTGGCTAAGGTGGGCAGTGTGGGTAGGATGATAAGACATCCAACTGTATCACACAGTAAAAAGAGAAGGCAGAGGAGATACCCATGGTGGGAAGGGGTAGGGGAGTAATAGCAATGATTATTACCTCAGTTTCATTTCTGCCAAAAATGGGTAAAGTTCCAGTGCCCCTGGCTCTCTGTTTTTTTGTACATCTCTTTCCAAAGGGTCGGTCTGGTCTTTAGATTGATGCTCAGCATTGGATATCACCTATAGATGAAAATCAAACTCTGCTTGAGAAATATGTTTCTGAAGTGCTCACCCTTCTCCCCATGTTTACCAATAAGAAAGAGTAGTATTTTGCTTGTAAAGCATATGTACTCACCCAGATTCCCTCATTTTAACCAAAGAAACTCTCAAAACAGACTGCGCCCTCAGAAGGAAATTGAATTCACTAAGTATTTATTGTATCCTATCTCCTACTCCAGCTAGATTATCCTGCTGTTTATATAATAACTTATTCTTCACAATAGCCAACATCCCTGGTACTAGAGCTCCAGTGCTTGTCCGAATAAATGAGCCCTTCTGAGCCCCAAAGGAGCTAATAATAAGCAGCAGTGCTCTAGTTAGAACAAGGCCTCTTCTCTCCCTCTCGCATAGGTTAGATAATTATCCTGGGTTTTTTCATCCACGTTTCTGTTTGGTTACCAAAAATATGTGTTTGTTGCTGGAAGTTTCAGTTAGCCATGGGCTCAGTGCTGGGATTGATTCACCCTGCTGTCTTCATGCCCTCGCTGTCTTTAGGGCTATGTCACAGTGCAGTGCCCTTGAATCTCTATAAGCCTACTGTGCCCCAGTCCATGTACTCCATATTACCCTTTGGCTACTGATAAGGAGAAGTACTGCATCTTAGCTGGAAGACGTATACTTCATCCATTTACCTCTTTCTTTCTGAAAATACTTCTTCCCAGCTTTGCCCTAATGTTCCCATTTCAAACATCTGTATAGGGTCCTCATCTTCTCCACTTACAATGGATAGCATGACTTATTGGGATTTCAGTTTCTTCCAAAACAGTCTCCCTCTTTTTCATCAGTGTTTTGCTAACTTCTTGTGTCCACATACTGAAGTCACTGTAGCTGCTCCTTCTCAATCAGTTGACGTCTCAGCTCTCTCTCTTTGAGCTATAGCCATACTCTAGAACACAATCACAACTCTTAAAAGTGGCATGGGAGAGATAAACAATAAAGCTTTCAGCCATAATTTTATATCCAATAGTAAATTAATGTGTCACATAAGTACTTTCCTTCCTCTGAGCCCCAATATTTCCAGAGGACCTGCCAGTGGCTCTGGTAGCCAATTTAAATCCTCCTTGGTTTTCTTCTGAGAGACTGTAATCCCAGAAGTGATTTAAAGTTGAATCTTTAAATAAGGTGGAAGATCGTGACTTTTACATACATTAGGGCTAATATCTCAAAGATCTGATTATACCTAACTTATTATTTTTGAGACAGAGTCTCCCACTGTCGCCCAGGCTGGAGTGCAGTGGCGCAATCCCTACTCACTGCAACCTCCGCTTCCTGGGTTCAAGCGATTCTCCTGCCTCAGCCTCCTGAGTAGCTGGGATTACAGGTGTCCACCACCATGCCAGGCTAATTTTTTGTATTTTTAGTAGAGACAGGGTTTCACTATGTTGGCCAGGCTGGTCTTGAACTCTTGACCTCATGATCCGCTCACCTCAGCCTCCTAAAGTGCTGGGATTACAGACGTGAGCCACCGCACCTGGCCATACCTAACTTATTAAGCAGTAATTTTCTTTCTTTTTTGAATTGCTACTTCCCTGATTATACAAATAATACATACTCAGAATAGAAAATTTGAGAAATTCCAAAAAATCTAAAGGAGGAAAGAAAATCACTCATAATTACAGATGTAAATATTAATATACCTCTATGCATATACTGTGTTTACATGCTTGAGAGTACACTGTATTTCTTGATTTATTACCTGATGTTTATTGTGCATACTACATTGTATATATTTGTCCATGTTAATTTTTCAGACATTTTTAACAAATTCATAATATTTTAAAATGGAAAACAGGAAAAAAAACCCCTACATATAACAAGTGGAAATGAAATAGTTTTCTGCTGGATTCTCAGCAACCTTTCACTTTTCTTTAGGTTTTTGAGGGTAATAACAATATTGGAGGACTAGGCTCAGAGATTATTTTCACTTTCTCTACCGTAAGAGTTAAGGCCCATTTCCACTGTCAGAAGTTCTCATAATGCCCTTTTGTAAAATGAAAAATGAGTGTGATGTACATTTTTTCTTAGTGAGGCAAAGCACACATAGGGTGTAATAACCAAAGCTGTGAACTCACAGCATCAAAGGACAGCACAGTGCTGCCGTGGTTTCCCAAGAGACTTCTCCAACTCCACTCATCCTCTGTCAACTTTCTGGCTCCAGATACTGCTGTTTTACTTCCAGGTCTTTGTGTTTTTAAACTCAACCACACTTACATTTTTGTAAGCACCTCTGCAATTGTGTAAGCCTCAACTCGAAGAACATTCACAATTCATTTAATATTTGGAGAACACATATATATAAGGCCCTTTGCTAAATTTTGATGCCAAATAAACTTGATGTCCACTCAATGTTGTAGGAATATACAAAGATGAAAAGACTCTACCTCTTGAGGCAGGCACTGGCAATATTTCAGAAAAGCATGTTGAAGTAAAAATATTTCTCAGGTTATTCTTGGAAAGTGGAATTTGACTCAATATTGATATATTCTTTTAGCAGACTGTAATTCAGCAGGACTCCATTTTCAAACTTGTCTTCCCTGAGGTGGGCAGCAATTGAAATCTTTGTTCAGGTCTTTTAGGCTTAACATCACTTACGTATAGTGTAGAGATCAGCCGGTATTTGGGTATAGTAAACACAAAAATTTGAGGCTCTCGTTGGTCTGTCTGCCTATTTTCTGTGGCTTTATCTTCCAGATTTTCAATCTCCATGACCTTCATGAACTCTGTCCTGTTCCTTCAGGCCAGTAAGACTGATGTTTTCTACCTGGATTTTAGTTACCCTGTAAAATGACGCTGACTAGGTCCTTCTCTTATCTTAAAATCAGCAAAAGTAAATCATCCATGCCATTTTTTCTGGCAAATATCGACTGCTCCAATCCAGTTTCTGGATGCTTTTGGCCACTTCAGGAAAATGTATGTATGTGTGTAAGTATATATTTGTGTGTTTGTTGTGGTAAGAGCATTTAACATGATAATATGAGATGTACTCTCTTAACAAATTTTTAAGCATGCAATAACAGCATCGTTAACTATGAGCACTATGTTGTACAACAGATATCTAGAAGATATTAATCTTTTATAATTGAAACTTTTATATTTGTTGAATAGTAACTCTTCATTTCTGTCTGCCCCCCACCTAGCCCCTGGAAACCATCATTCTCTTTTCTGCTTCTATGAATTTGGTTCTTTTTGGTAGTTGATATAAGTTGATATAAGTGTAATCCTACAGTGTTTGTCTTGCAGTGACTGGCTTACTTTACTTAGTATAGTGTTACCAAGGTTCGGCCATGTTATTGTATATGGCAGGATTTCCTTCTTCTTTTTTTTTTTGAGATGGAGTCACCCTCTTGTTGCCCAGGCTGGAGTGCAATGGCGTGATCTTGGCTCACTGCAACCTTCGCCTCCCAGGTTCAAGTGATTCTCCCACCTCAGCCTCCAGAGTGGCTGGGGTTACAGGCGCCTGCCACCACGCCTGGCTAATTTTTGTGTTTTTAGTAGAGACGGGGTTTTGCCATGTTGGCCAGGTGGATTTCCTTCTTTTTAAAGGCTGAATAATATTCCATTATATCACATGTACACATGTTTTCTTTATCCGAACATCTGTTGCTGGACATTTAGGTTGTTTCCATATTTAGACTATTGTGAACAATGCTGAATGACACTGGCATGCAAATATCTTTTCAAGATCTTGATTTCAGGAAGTTTCTTTTTCCCTGTAAGGTAAAAAAACATTTTTACCTATATTATTACCTGTAATAGTCTAGGTGTTTATTGGGGATACAAAATTAACAAGATACTATTCTTGTTTTAGAGATATTGTCAGTCTAGTGAAGAAATGAATATATCTTTATATAAATGTCACCCTTCAAGAGTATGTAGGCCGGGTGCGGTGGCTCACACCTGTAATCCCAGCACTTTGGGAGGCTGAGGCAGGCGGATCATGAGGTCAGGAGTTTGAGACCAGCCTGGCCAACATGGTGAAGCCCCGTCTCTACTAAAGATACAAAAAATTAGCTGGGCGTGGTGTTGCGTGCCTGTAATTCCAGCTACTTGGGAGGCTGAGGCAAGAGAATTGCCTGAACCCAGAAGGCAGAGGTTGCAGTGAGCCGAGATCGCGCCACTGCATTCCAGCCTGGGGGACAGAACGAGACTCTGCCTCAAAAAAAAAAAAAAGAGTATATATTCAGTTATTTCAATGAAAGCTCTATGAGTGCAAGGACTTAAAAAACATTCTATTGAGATACAATTGACATAACAAAAAGTTACACATATTTAATGTATGCAATTTAATGAGTTTGAAGATAAGCATACACCCAGGAAACCATTACCACAATCTATGCCATAAACAATCCATTGCCTAAAAAAGTTTTCTATTGCACTCTTTATCTACTATTATTTTTATTGTTCTTTGTGAAAAGAACAGTTCTCCGAGGTAAGCAGCAACTGAAATTATCACCTCCAAAAAGAAATTTAAAACATATTTTTCCTAGAGTGTACAGTTAGCTGCAGGAGAGTTGTTCCAAATGCTATTATTGGAAGATTCCATTTTATATTTTATTTATTATTTCCACATCGATGTTATAAGTGAAATAAGCCAAAAAGCTTTATCTGCTTGTACTGTTCTCATCTGAATATGAAATAAAAATAAATGGATCAGGCAGGTTTCTCAATTTTTTTTTTTTTTTTTTTTTTTTTTGCTAAATAACTTGAATAAGATGATGACTGTTCCTTGACAATTTAGTGAACTCATAAGTAAAACTGTCTGGCAGCAGGAACTACTAAGGTTCAATTGAGGTTGATAAAAATAAAGATGCAGTTTTTTTCCCATCCAAGTTACTAGGCCCCTTGAGTTCTATGCCTGGGTGTCCTTTGGGATCAAGAGCCACTGCTCTAGAGAATATACCAAGGAGAGGTTTTCTGGGTCAGTCAGTATATACATTCATCTTTCTTGTAATTTTTGTTAATTTTAAAAGCTTTTTTGTTCATTTGTTTCCTTTGTTTGATTTTGGGTTATATATTCATCTTTGCTAAGTTTCCAAATTTGTACCCTAAATAGAAGTGTATGAGGCTTCACTTTGCATCATATTCTTGCCAATACTTAGTATTGACCAACTTTTAAGTTATTACCAATCTAGTCTGGTCAATTTGGAGTAGTATCTTTTTAAGACTCATGAAACAATAGGTATTGTTTGAAGGGTGGTGAAAAAAATTATATGAGGTGGACATAGGAAGCACTCTGTCTGAGATATTTCTACTTGGTTGTGTCACGTGGTTAGGTTCATGCAAATCTTCAGAAGGAAGCAGGATGGGTGGAGCCAATGTGGGCCCAACAGTTAGTGAGGGCAGTAACTGCATATATACTGTATATGTTTGTAAGTTTTTGGTCCATCCTTACATAGGTACTTTCAGGACTCCTTTGTAAGCGCGGCTGAAGAAATCACAACTTCTATTATATTCTAAGGCCACTAGATGGTGGCATAGACTAGCTTTTTCTTCCTCATTTCTTTTGCCCCATACTTGTAAGTGGAATTGTGGGATCAACTTTACCTGATCTTATTTGCTCTTCAAAATATTAATTCATATGTTCACTGGCAATGAATTGAACTTGATTTCTCCATATTCTTGTCAATACTTATGATGCTATAATTTAGTATCTGACTATTTAGAAAGTATGTAATGTCTCATATTGTCATTATAAATGCATGTTGAATTTTATGAAATTTTCTGCATTTAGTAAAATAGACATGCTTTTTTCTCCTTTAATTGATATTGTTATAAATTAAATTAACATATTTTCTAATGTTAACATTTTCTTGCATCCCTGATATATATTTTACTTGGACATTAGGTATTATTATTTTGTACATTGCTGGATTACATTTGCTAATATTTTATTTAAGGTTTTTGTATCTATGTAGTAGAGTGGCGTATTTTTTCCCTTTTTTAATTGTCCAGTTTTTGTTTCACATGCTTGCTTCGAAAGATTGGTTCCAGAAGATCTTCCTGTTTTTCTATTTTCTGCAACAAATTTAGAGATTTTTTATACTCTTGAACATTTATTAGAATTTTCTAGGGAAATTGTTTGGACCTGGCAATTTTTAAAACAACTGGTTCAAAATTCCTTGTCTTTGTGTTTTTTCCATTCTTTATTTTTTTTTCTAGAGCTTGAATTGGATGCTAAGTGCATAAACTTTCAACTTTTTTTATGTTTAAGCCTATAAATTTTCTTCGAAACAGTTAAACTGAATCAACTAATTTTGATGGTAATTTTGTTGTCCTAAAGTTGTAAATGTTTTATAATTTCCATTGTTATTTTTTACTAATCAATGATTTACTTAGAAATGTGTTTCAAAATTTCCAAATATAAAATATATTTTGAGTTTTTTAATTGATTTCTGATTGTATTTCATTGTGATAAGAAAATGTGGTTGAGTGCTATTAATTGTTCAATATGTATTAAGTCTTGCTTTCTGACCCAAGGAGTCAGTTTTATAAATATATATTCCCCAGTTGTTTGAATATAAAACGATGGATATTACATATTATATATTTTTATCTTCTTCAGATGACTTTTAATCATTGTAGAATTTAAATTTTTTATTTTCACATTTTTAACCCATTAGAGAGAAGTATACATTAAAATCACTCACTTTTATTTTATTTTAAAAATACCATTAAATTTCTTTTTTAATTATTAATTTTTATGAATACAGTAAGTGTATATATTTATAGGGCGCTTGAGATATTTTGATGCAAGCATACAATGTGTAGTAGTCACACTAGGGCAAATGAGGTATCCGTCACCTCAAGTATTTATCTTTTCTTTGTGTTGCAAACAATCCAATTATATCCTTTTAGTTATTTTAAAAGTACGATAAATTACTGTTGATTGTAGTCATCCTCTTGTGCTATCAGATTCTAGATTTTATTTATTCTATCTAACTATATTTTTCTGCAGATCAACCATCCTTAGTTCTCCCTCACTTTATGCTTCCCAGCCTCTGGTAACCATCGTTCTACTCTCTACTTCCTTGAATTCAATTGTTTTAATTTTTAGCTCCCACAAATAAGTGAGAACATGTGGTTTGTCTTTCTGTGTCTAGCTTACTTCACTTAACATAATAACCTCCATTTCCATCCATGTTGTGCAAATGACAGGATCTCATTATTTTTTATGGCTCAATAGTACTCCATTGTGCGTATGTGCCACATTTTCTTTATCCATTTATCTTTAGTGGACATTTAGGTTGCTTCAAAATTTTGGCTATTTTGAATAGAGTTGCAATAAACATGGGAGTGCAGATATCTCTTCAATATACTGCTTTCCTTTCTTTTGGTTATATACCTAGCAGTGGGATTGCTAGATCACACGATAGCTCTATTTTTAGTTTTTTGAGGAACTTCCAAACTGTTCTCTAAAGTAGTTGTACTAATTTACATCCCCACCAATATCGTATGAGGGTTCCTCTTTCTCCATATCCTCGCTAGCATTTGTTATTGCCTGTGTTTTAGATATAAGTCATTTTAACTGGGGTAAGGGGATATTGTAGTTTTGATTTGCATGTCTCTGATGATCAGTGATATTGAGCACCTTTTCATATACCCCTTTGCCATTTGTATGTCTTCTTTTGAGAAATGTCTAGTCAGATTTTTTGCTCAATTTTTAATTGGATTACTAGACTTTTTTTCTATAGAGTTATTTGAGCTCCTTGTATATCTGGTTATTAATCCCTTGTCAGATGGGTAGTTTGCAAATATTTTCTCCCATTCTGTGGGTTGTCGCTTTGCGTTGTTGTTTCCTCTGCAGTGCAGAAGCTTTTAAACTTGATGTGATCTCATTTGTTTATATTTGCTTTTATTGTCTGTGGTTGTGGGGTATTACTCAAGAAATGTTTGCCAAATCCTATGTCCTGGAGAGTTTCCCCAATGTTTTCTTGTAGTAGTTTCATAGCCTGATGTCTTAGATTTAAGTCTTTAATCCATTTTGATTTGATTTTTGTATATGATGAGAGATAGGGTTCTAGGTGCATTCTTCTGCATATGGCTATCCGGTTTTCCTAGCACCATTTATTGAAGAGAGTGTCCTTTCTCCACTGTTGTTCTTGGCACGTTTGTTGGAAATGAGTTCTCTTTAGATGTATGAATTTGTTTCTGGGTTCTCTAGAATGTTCCATCGGTCTGTGTGTCTGTTTTTATGCCAGCACCATGCTGTTTTGGTTACTACAGCTCTGTATTATGATTTGAAGTCAGGTAATGTGATTCCTCCAGTTTTGTTCTTTTTTCTTGGGATAGCTTTGACTATTCTGGGTATTTTGTGGTTCCATATAAGTTTTAGGATTATTTTTTCTATTTTTTGAAGAATGCCATTAGTATTTTGATAAGGATTGCATTGAATCTGTAGATTGCTTTGGGTAGTGTGAACATTTTAATAGTATTGATTCTTCCAATCCATGAACATGGAATATCTTTCCATTTTTTTGTGTGTCCTCTTTAACTTCTTTTATCAATATTTTATAGTTTTCATTGTAGATATCTTTCACTTCCTTGGTTAAGTTTATTCCTAGGTATTTTATCTTATATGTAGCTGTTGTAAATGGGATTACTATCTCGATTTCTTTTTCAGCTTGTTCGCTGCTGGCATATAGAAATGCTACTAATTTTTGTATGTTGATTTTCTATCCTGCAGCTTACTGAATTTGCTTCTCAGTTTTAATAGTTTTTTGCTGGAGTCTTTAGGTTTTTCCAAATATAAAATCATATCATCTCCAAGGATAATTTGACTTTTCATTTCCAGTTTGAATGCCCTTTATTTCTTCCTGTTGTCTGATTGCTCTAGCTAGGATTTCCAGTACTATGTTAAATAACAGTGGTGAAAGTGGGCATTGTTTTCATGTTCCAGATATAATAGGAAAGGCTTTCAGTTTTTTTCCATTCAGTAAGATACCATCTGTGGGTCTGTTGTATATGGCTTTTGTTATGTTGAGGTATGTTCCTTCTATACCGAGTTTTTGAGAGTTTGTATCATGAAGAGATGTTGAATTTTATAAAATGGTTTTTTAGCATCATTTGAAATTATCCTATGGTTTTTGCCCTTCATTTTGTTGATATGATGTATCACATTGATTAATTTGCATATGTTGAACCATCTTTGCATCCCTAGGATAAATCTCACGTGGTCATAATGAACTTTTTAATGTGTTGTTGAATTTGGCTTGCTAGGATTTTGTTGAGGATTTTTGCATCAATGTTCATTAGGGATATTGTCCTGTAGTTTTCTTTTTCTTTTTCTTTTTTTTTTTTGATGTGTCTTTATCTGGTTCTGGAATCATGGTAACACTGGGCTTATAGAATCAGTTTGGAAGCTTTTTTTTGAATAGTTTGAGTAGGATTGGCATTAGTTCTTTAAATGTTTGGTAAAATTCAGCAGTGAAGACATTGGGTCCTGGGATTTTCATTGCTGGGAAAGAAAAAATTATTATTATTTTGGCTTCAGTCTCATTACTTGTTATAGGTCTGTTGAAGTTTTGGATTTCTTTATGGTTTAATCTTGGTAGGTTGTATATGTCTAGGAATTTATCAGTTTCTTCTAGGTTTTTCAGTTTATTGGCATATCGTTGTTCACAGTAGCTTCTAGTGATCTGATGATCATTATGGGTTCATGAAGGAGGCATGTTATCAGAGATTCAGGGCTATATTTTCTACCCTCTTCCTTGCCTCTTTTAGTGATATGAAGTTACAACCAGGTGCTATGATTGCGCAGCTGTTTTGGTTCTTATGAATGTGCTTTTTATTGTGTGGATAGTTGTGCAATTTGGTGTTCCTGCAGGGAAGACAATTGGTGGAGGCTTCTAGTTGGCCATGTTGTCCTGCCTCCTCTCACTTTTATTTTATTTATTTTTTTGAGACAGAGTCTCACCCTGTCGCCCTGGCTGGAGTGCAGTGGCATGATCATGGCTTACTGCAGCCTTGATCAACGGAATCATTATTATAATTTAGCTACTATTAGTTTAGATAGCCTCTAATTAATAGTGTTGCATAATTTAATCATTGTTCTTTTAATCTCACATCTGTGTAAGAATATGAGTAACACAGAGAAAGAAAATTATTTCTTTCATCCAGGTTATAATTTAGTTTCTTTGGGTTGAGCTTCAGTCATTTAGTTTTTATTAAAGTTACATATTAAAATAGATCCTGAGAAATGCGAATACTAATGTAACTTAGTGGTTTTAAGAACAGTGATACTATACGATATATAGGCTGTTATCATGTAGATGCAGAGAAATAACATTATCAAAGGTATCTTCATGATGCAATGTATATTGAATGTGAAATTAATTCCTGCAGAATAAATGCTGTAGGAATAACTAAGGTCCTTTTGCTAAGGTTTATACAGTCTGGCATGCCCTGGGGAATCTAGTTCCCTCCGAAGTAACTAAAAACAGACGAACTTTAACTGAAAACATATCATCTGAAAGAATTTCGTTAATGACTTTCTCCTTATTACTTAGAGTTTAAATTTGGTAAATCTTCTGATGCTTTTCTTTCCTTCCCATCCCCCAGGAATAGCAACTGAAATCCAGACAAGCATTCAGTATAGAAAACTACGTTTCTGAGGGACCATTACATTTTATTTTGCTTTGCTCCCTTGTTGGAGTTGTAAGCAACCTATTAAAAAGTTTTTGTTTTTAAATAAAACTTTTTTCCTAAAGAAGGTTTAAATTTATGACACAGTTCTTTTTATCCACTTACTAGTCTTGCCTCCACTAGAGTCTGTCTTGCATCATACATTCAACTTGACAAGTTTTCTGTCAATGTAAATGCGTACATATGTATTTTAATATTGGAAAGATCTCTTTCAGGGAACCCTGCAAAGACTGCTTTAATAAAGTATAACCTCTTGGTGATGACGTGAAAAAAATTATTCTCCTTTTGTCATTTTGTTTATTTTATAACTTTAGATATTTGAACTTTCTAATCAGTGTCACACAAAATGCTACAATTAAAAATTAATTATTTGTTCTCTGCTTATACTCCTGTCAAAAAAATAAGAAAACTGTTAATGAATTGAAAAGCAGATAAGATCTGACAGAAAATTTCCTCTTCATGGCCTCTGGAGTTAAAGCGAATGGGGGATATTACTAATAGCATCAAAAAATTTCTCTCTTGAATCAGGTTCCTACAAGAGTATCCCTTCCTCTTAGCTGTTAAAATTGGCAGGATATATGTTTTTAAACAGGTACTAAAGATTCTGAGGGTGGCTACATATGCTTTACATAAGAAGTCTAGTTGAAAGAATTTGCAGATAGTATGGAGATAGCATATTAGAAAAAAAACCTTAAATATATGGCACTCATTCCATTTCACCTCATTGACATGTCTCTTAATCCATAAGTTTATTCCAAATTTCAATGCAGATGTGTTCTCTCTCAAATTTTTCTGAAATTGTTTTAAAAAGTTTTTATTCATATACCTGTATATATGCTCATTTTCTCAAAAGAAGAAAACTTAAACTAGCTTCTTCCTCAATGACACATTTGTCTATTCTCATTTACATGTCTGTGAGAGTTACCCAATCACCTAATTGTGTTGGTATTTCAAAGTCTGAATATTATTTATTTATTTATTTATCTATTTTTATAATTATAAGATATTTAAACTGTTTTTTGTTTGTTTGTTTGTCTGTTTTTTTGAGACAGAGTCTTGGTCTGTCACCCAGGCTGGAGCGCAGTGGTACGAACTCAGCTCACTGCAACCTCCGCCTCCCGGGTTCAAGTGATTCTCCTGCCTCAGCCTCCCGAGTAGCTGGGACGACAGGTGCACGCCACCATGCCTGGCTAATTTTTTGTATTTTTAGTAGAGATGGGGTTTTGCTGTGTTGGCCAGGCTGGTCTCGAACTCCTGACCTCAAACAATCTGCCCACCTCTGCCTCTCAAAGTGCTGGGATTACAGGTGTGAGCCACTGTGCCTGGCCTAAAATGTTTCTTATATAGAGTTTAACCTTTATAACAATTTTGTCAGAAATAGCTGTAGTCACAAGTCAAGAATTTTTACCAGTATGTCATATTTAAAGTGTCTTGCTTGAATCCCCTGGGAAAATCTTGCCACTAGACAGTATGGTAGGATAGTTTTAACTTCTTGTTTTGCAAGTGTGGTGTGTCATTTCATCGGTTATTACATTAGTAAATAAATGTGCACTGAATTTTCGAAAGAATGTCAAATGATGTAACACAGAACATAGTATGTCAGTGTGAAGTTAGAAACTGATTTTCAGCTTGTACTCCAAATGAGATGTGACTCTTTACAGCAGTAAATATTATTACCCTCCCTATCACCAAAAACAGACATTTTGTTTTCATTGTCCCCATTTAATAGATAAGCAAATGAATTTTAAGAGAAGTTCAGAGCTTGCCAGATTTCCAACCGCAAGACACAGAACAAAAAAACCTATGAATTATTGCAAGTACACTGACAGGAGTCCAAGCAGTTAGATTTGGGGGATAAAAAGAGCTTTATTGCAGTGGGGAGAGAGAGAGCAAGAGTGAGAGAGCACTGAGTAATAAGTAGCCAGCATTTTGCAAGACATTCTAAACTTACCTTTAAAGTGAAATAAATCAGAGCCCTAAAACCAGGAGTAGCCAAGTCCAGCACATACAAAATGTAACAAGCAGCTTATAAAAAACGAGAAAGATCAGTGAAACCTGGAGGAAAGGTAAGTAGACTAAAAATGTATAAAGAATACTCCTTTAATTACCAGCTTAGGGTTCCTATCAGTAATCAAATCAGAAAAAAAGCAGAAACTTATAGTGAATGCCAGAATGTGTGTGCATATATATACACACAAATATATTTTGCGATATATATATTCCAAAGTGTACAGGTTATAGGGCTGTCCTGCAATGTGTGTGCTCATTCTTCAACAAATATTTATAGAGTACATAATATTTGTTTAACATTACTTAACAATAACTAATAAGAAAAAGTTAGCTGGGCATGGTGGCTCACACCTGCAATTTCAGCACTTTGGGAGGCTGAGGTGGGTAGATCACAAGGTCAAAAAATCGAGACCATCCTGACCAACATGGTGAAACCCTGTCTCTACTAAAAATACAAAAATTAGCTGGGCATGGTGGCGCGTGCCTGTAGTCCCAGCTACTTGGGAGGCTGAGGCAGGAGAATCACTTGAACCCAGGAGGCGGAGGTTGCAGTGAGCTGAGATCGTGCCACTGCACTCCAGCCTGGGTGACAGAGCAAGACTCCGTCTCAAAAAAAAAAAAAAAAAAAAGAAAAGAAACAGTCCTCATCCTTGTGGAGCTTACATTCCTGTGGCAATAAACTCGTAAAACAATGAATATATAATGCAATTTTGGGAAATGTGAGCGCTATGAAGGAAAACAAAGTATGATAAGTTCTTGACCAAAACTTGAGTTAAATGAGAGAGAAACCTGGGGGACCAGGAAAGACTGTGCCAGGTAGAGGCAGCAGCAAAGGCAAAGGCTTGGGTATGTCTGGGAAACAGCAAGAAGACAACAGATGTGGACTCTGGTAAGCATGGGAAGGAGGTAGGAGATGGATGACACTGCGGAAATAGGTTGGGTCAGATTATGTAGACCCTTGTAGGCCATGGTAAGGAGTGGATTTTATTCGAAATATAATGGTAATATTAAGATGGTTTTTAGTAAATGCCTGACATCATATGTCTACATTTTTAAAATAACACGGCTGGGTGTGATGGCTCACGTCTGTCATCCCAGCACTTTGGGAGGCCGAGGCTGGCGGATCATGAGGTCAGGAGTTCGAGACCAGCCTGGCCAACATAGTGAAACCCGGTCTCTACTAAAAATACAAAAACAATTAGCCGGGTGTGGTGGTGAGTGCCTGTAATCCTAGCTACTCGGGAGGCTGAGGCAAGGAGAATTGCTTGAACCTGGGAGGCCAAGGTTGCAGTGAGCCGAGTTTACGCCACTGCACTCTAGCCCGGGCAACACCGCGAGACTCTGTCTCAAAACAAAACAAAACAAAACAAACAAACAAAAAAACCACCCAAGCTACTGGAGAATGACTTGTAGCAGAACAAGAATGAAAGCAAGGAGATGACTTTGAAAGCCATTTCAGTAGTGTAGATGTGATAACAGTAGCTTGGACTAGAGTGGTAGCAACTGAAGTATTCAGGTTCAGTATAAATTTTGAGTCAAACTGACAGAATTTTCTGGTGCATTGGATTTGTATAAGTGGTTTTACATTTCCTGAGGTAGGGAAGATGAAACCAAATGAGGATAGAGAGAATCAACAGTTCTGTATTGAACTCATTATCTTGATACACTTATTAATTATCTAAGTGGAAATGTGCAGTAGGAAGTTGAATATATGAATCTGGATGTTAGGGAAGTCAGGAATGGAGATACATATGTAGGAATTACTGGTTTATAGATTAATATTTCTTCTTGTTAAATAATGACCTTAAGAAAGTAGCTCTGGGATTCTTATCTGTGTTTAATTCAGTTAGATAGACTCTGCCTGACCTATTATAGTCGCGGTTGTTACACTCAGGTGAGACAAAACCAGGTAAACAACACTGAAACACATTGTTTTTTTAATTGACAGAGTCTCACTGTGTCACCCAGGCTGGAATGCAGTAGGCAATATTGGCTTACTGCAACCTCCGCCTCCTGGTTTCAAGCAATTCTTATGCCTCAGCCTCCCTAGTAGCTGGGACTACAGGTGCACGCCACCACACCCAGCTAATTTTTTTGTGTGGGCTTTTTGTTTGTTTGTTTGAGACTGAGTTTCGCTCTGTCACCAGGCTGGAGTGCAGTAGTGTGATCTCGGCTCACTGCAACCTCTGACTCCCAGGTTCAAGTGATTTTTCTGCCTCAGCCTCCCAAGTAGCTGGGACTACAGGCACCCACCACCACGCCTGGCTAATTTTTTTATTTTTAGTAGAGACAGGGTTTCACCATGTTGGCCAGGATGGTCTCGATCTCCTGACCTTCTGATCCACCTGCCTTGGCCTCCCAAAGTGCTGGGACCACAGGTGTGAGCCACCACACCTGGCCTTTTGTGTGTTTTTAGTAGAGATGGGGTTTCACCATGTTGGCCAGGCTGGGCTCAAACTCCTGACATCAAGTGATCTGCCTGTGTTGGCCTCCCAAAGTGCTGGGATTACAGTTGTGAGCCACCACACCTGGCCTGAAACACTGTTGAAGAGAATGCTGTCTCAACTGGGCTTATTGCTAGTTGTGTGTATTCCCTGTAACATCATACAAGACACAACCTTCAAAAGAAAAATGCCTGTTTAAAAAAGTTGAATACACAAATTGCACTGATCCAAATTATCAACGTGTTAATTGTGGAGATTACAAAGACCAGTAACTCTACTTCTAATGACCTTTCAATAAAGCAGGATATACAAACAACACACAAATAGAAAATAAATCTTCATATTATAAATATTATGAAAGATTGCTAAACAAATCCAATTTAGTTAAAATGATAAGTAGGAGCTTCAAGGCAGAGGAGGCTTTTGAGGAGGGTCTTGGATTGTGATAGATTAGAGAGATTTTGATTTTAGATAGAGAGAATGGCATGAACAAAGATGCAGAGGCAGCAATGATTGGCAAGGCTTATTCTAGTAATGGTAACTAAGCTTGCTTAGCTTCAATGTGTGAAAAGCAATCATGCCTTCATTCATTCAACAAAGAACTATAATGAACATCTATTTCCTGAGGACTCCACTTTACGTCTTTAAATTTTATGTTCCTGGTGAACTACAGAGTTGGGATTTTTATCCATCTCTTCCTGATTTCTAAAATGTGTGCTTTCAACTACATCCCTCTGAATAAATAGTATACAATATATAATACAAATTATAAAAGAGGCACAAAGAAGCATATAGAAACACTGAAGTGGGAGAAGTGATTTTTTCCTGGAGGGTTTAGTAAAGGCTTCACAGAAGAGGTGACATTTGAGTTTAGCGACAGTGCGACAGAAAAAATAACCCTTGATTTGGGAATATTAATGTTCAACTCTTCTCAAAATCCATCTATCAAAAGAGCAGAAGCTTCCAGTTATTGATCTTTATAATCTTCAAAATAATTAAAAATGTGAGATACAATCAATATATATCCTAGCTCACTGACATAAGCCTCAATACTTAAAGTCTGTTTTTTCCCTTGTTTTAAAACTTACCATCCCCTGAACTGCTGGTCCAAGGAAGAGAAATTTTATTTTACCTGATAAAAGATATTTACATCAAAAGAATATTATCATATGAAATGAAAGCAAGAGAGAGGGAGGAAAAAAAAAAAAAGCAAAGCTGGAAAATGGAGAGATGCTCCAAAACAGCTGGGGGATATGATGCCAGTGGATAAAAGAAAAAGTAATTCTTATCAGTGTTACTGTGGTAGGAAATATTTGGATTCCTTCCATGGTTTTTAAGAAAGTTAAGTAGAGGTTGAAAATTATTTTGATTGCTTGACTGTTTCCTTTTTGAGAATGAGCCATGGAAATTTCAGCTTTGTAAGCATGTAATAATAACACTAGTAATACTGTTAATCATGAAAGACATCTATTAAAGTCTTAGGAAATGCATTGGGTTCTGTATTTAGTGGGTTCTCTATCTAGTTATTTGTTGAAAATGCTCAATTTATAAGTGCTATAGCATGTTGAATGCTTTAATGGAACACATCTCAGATCGTGGAAAACAGAGAAAGCACCCCCAAAGCTCCTCAGAGTTAATAGATATTACTATTTTAATACTGCATATTGATTTTATTTGTTTCAAATATCATGTATTATGTATACCTTTAACCAATATTATATTGCTTGAAGTTGCACCTTCTTCATTCTCCATGCTAAATATTCCATTATTCTACTTGTGATAAACATTTATATTTTTCTAGTGTTTGTATAAGGTATGAATAGTGCTTTTATTAACATACTTATATGCATCTTTGGTGTAAATTTGTATATAATCACTCTATTGAATATATAGTTTAGAAAGAATTCTGAGTTATAGGGTATGCAAATACTTAGCTTCATACACATCTCCAGTTCTATAAAGTATTGGTACCAATTTAAGCTCCCACCAGCAGTATGTAAGAACTTAAGTTGCTTTACATCTTTGGAAACACTTGGTATTATCTCTGTTTTTCATTTTAGCTGTTGTGGTGGGAGTGGTAGCATATTATTTTATTTTTTTATTTCCCTGAAGTTAAGCATTTTTCATACATTTATTGCATATTCAAATATCCTTATTTGATGAAATGTACATTCACTTTTTTTTTGGTCCATTCTTCTACTAGGTTGTCTTTTTAAAATGGATTTTAAATGATTTTTCATATCTTATTTATATGAATCCTTTGTTAAAAATATTTATTTAAAAAATATTTTTCCTTTCTGTTTATGTTCTTAATGATGACATCTAATGAATAGAAGTTATTAATTTAAATATAATTAGACCAATTCACAATCTTTTCTTTGTGGTTATTCTTCTATATATTCTTCTAAAAGAATACTTCTACGTATTATTCTAAAAGATGTATTGTTCCATTTTTCATATCTAAATCTGTAATCAATCTTGATTTGATTTTTGTGTATAAAGTAGGGGCCAAGATTAAATTTTTTCTTTTTGGATATTCAATTGATCCCCTATTAGCTTCTTTAGTTGCACATTTTTACCTTAAAATATTATTAACAGATTAAGAAAATTGAGGCTTAAGTAACGGGCCCAAAATCATGCAGCTTTTATTTGACAGAGGCTTACCATGATCAGATTGATTTTTTGGAAAGATAACGCAGACAAAATTATGGAGAATAGACTGAGGTGCTAGCGATGGTGTTGAAAATGAAGGTAGAAAGGCCAACTGGGAGTACCTTGCAGTAATCAAATGGAGGCATAATGTGGAAATAGTACTAAGAATAGCTGGAGGGTAGTTAACAGATGTGAAAGATGTCTAGGAGTCCAACTTTATAAGTTTTGATAGTTTAGATTTGGTGGTGCCATTAATCAGTTAGGAATTGCAAGGGAAGTCAACAATATAACACTTGCATTCTGAGTGGTTAAAAATATGCCAGGTACTGGCCTTAATTCTGTAATTACAGTGATTAACAAGAGCAAGATGGTGCTTATTCTTAAGGTGCTTGCTGTTTGGCCAGACACAGATAATTAAACACGTGATTGCAATAATGTGTGATAAGTGCTGTATTAAGGGAGATATAGGATGTTATCAGGGCACACAGGAGGGTTGCCTAACTCAGACTAGGGGTCAGGAATGACATCTTCAGGAGATTCTGGGAGAAGGATAATAGCAATTAAGCAAGAAAAGGAAGAGTTCCCTACCCTCTGCATATGCTATGCTATTCTTTCTCCCTCAAAAATTCTCCATTTGCTCTTTGTTTTCTAGAGAGAGAGGAGGGGGGTGGTGGGGGAAGGTGGTATATTCTAAAAATTAAAAGAAGCTCCATTTTGGTTGCACATGGGATAAAGAACAGTTGGGAGAGGTGAAATTTTGTGAAATATGAGGCTAAAGAGTTATTTAGGATCTAGAGCTCAGACAACTTTGCAGTTCAGTTTAGGCATTTTGGAAATCATCAAAAGAACAGGGGGTAACATTTCTTTTCATAATAGGAAAGTAGCAGGAAGATAATGTAGTGTAAGTCAACATGGTGAGTGAAAGACATGTGTTTTACTTACTGCATTTAGATAAGATGCTACCATAAAATGCCCAGGAGAGAAATCTGGGATGAGGCCTATGGATTTGGATTCACCAGTTTATTGATGATGCATTGAAACCATAGAGTGAATGAGATTGCCCTAGGAGATAATCTGGAATTTTAGGTGGTAGTTGTTTTGTGGGGAGACATTAGTATCAGGTCAAAGTGTTCATGTCTTAGTTGGAAAGCCAAGGTAAGTTTTTGAATTGTGGTGATGATGAACACCATGAATTAGGAAGATTAATTTGGAAAAGGTAGCAGACTCTATAGAATTAAAAAAGTTTAGATTCTGTGAAAGCAAATAGATTACTGTAATCTCCAAGTTGAAAAGAATCTGGATAGTAGCAGAAAACAAAAAATAAGGGATGGCTTTTAGAATAAAAAAAGATCTGGATTCAGATTCCATCTCAAACACCAATGTTCACATTGTTTACCATTACCTAGAAGAGTGTAGGCTCTTATATATTTGTTCAATGAATGAATGAAATGATCTTTGCTAATTATAAGTCTAAAATACAGACTGAAATTCTAATTTTAGTTCTAAAAATAAACTCAAGTGGTAATTGTTTCAAAGAATACAACTAAAAACAAAAAGTAGAAAATATACACACAAAAGAACAGATTTTGGATTCATATAAGCAGTTTTTGACAGTAATAACTAGATTCCCTCAGAACAGATGAGCTTCCCATTATTAGAGGTGTGCAAGAAAGATAGATAACAGCCTGTTAGGGATGTTTTGGAGGATATTTACGCATCAGGTGGTGAATTAGATGTTTTTAGTTCTATGAGACTTGATTGTTGTGTTAATTTAGCTTTAAACATTATTTGGTAAGTTAGAAACTTCTCTATCTTAGAAAAAAATGGTATTGGCATCCAGTAAATGCATGTGAAATATGACAAATAATTGGAGTCAAAATTATTATTTTTGGAGACGATATGCTTTGGTTGATAATAGCAAGGCAGTACGCATTGATTGATAATATGTTCTGAAGGTTTGTCTAAAGAGATTTTCTTTTACCACCAAACATTTCACTGGATAGGTAAAGATGTTTCAAGGATCTTTTTCTTATGACATATCTGTTATTCCTGAAGCGGATAACAAATACATGTGAAAAGGTGCTGGATTCTAGTATTTCTAAATCACTGGCGTGATAGAGGATATGCACTTTTTTTCCCTATAGTTCTAAGAGTAGAAACTGCCATCCATTTTGAGGGTAGACTCACTCTTCTGGGAAGAGCCATACTTTTAAAGATAAATACTTTGAAGTTATGTACCTATATATTTTTACTGGGTTAACCCCAATGCTTGTAAAAGGAGGAAACGAAGAGGACTCAGCAACACGGTGGCTGGCCAGGAACTGAAGAGGGAAATGGCGTTGAGAGGCCTTTGTGAGGTAGCATGTCTAGCAGATATTAGCAGCAGTGATATTCCGTATTAAAATCTTTTCTTTACGGCATCACTTTATCTTATTTTCAGGCCAAGTAGTGTGTTAAAAACGACAGTCCCTGGAATGTATGTAAATTTGGTTTTTTTTACACGGAGTTTCGTTCTTGTTGCCCAGGATGGAGTGCAATGGCGCGATCTCGGCTCACTGCAAACTCGTCTTCCGGGTTCAAGCGATTCTCCTGCCTCAGCCACCCGAGTAGCTAGGATTACAGGCGCCCACCACCACTCCCAGCTAATTTTTTGTATTTTTTGGTAGAGACGGGGTTTCACCATGTTGGCCAGGCTGCTCTTGAACTCCTGACCTCAGGTGATCCGCCCGCCTCGGCCTCCCAAATTGCTGGGATTGCAGGCGTGAGCCACTGTGCCTGACCTGTAAATGTTTTTAAAGGTACTTGTATATACTCTTTGTGCAGCAAAATGGACTGTAAAGAACTTATTAATAAATAAGATGAGAAAGTAATTATAAGATTTTCAGAGAAAAATGATAGAGAAGCATGGAATATCAATCAGGCTGGAGAAAAAAATAACCAACAACTAGGAAAATATAAAAGTCCTAAGCAATATTTTGCGAGGAGTATAAACTATGTGCATTCATGAAAAATAAAGGCTAGATTATCACAATTGGGCTACTAAAGGAAGGGGTAACACCTGAATATAGAAGACTTTGAGACCACTTGTGGTACTCTGTTTGTTGAAAAAAACGTACCTTAAAGTTTATTTCCGCCGGGCGCGGTGGCTCACGCCTGTAATCCCAGCCCTTTGGGAGGCCGAGGCGGGCGGATCACGAGGTCAGGAGATGGAGACCATCCTGGCTAACACGGTGAAAACCCGTCTCTACTAAAAATACAAAAAAAAATTAGCCGGGCGTGGTGGTGGGGGCCTGTAGTCCCAGCTACTCCGGAGGCTGAGGCAGGAGAATGGCGTGAACCTGGGAGGCGGAGCTTGCAGTGAGCCAAGATTGCGCCACTGAACTCCAGCCTGGGCAACAGAGCGAGACTCCATCTCAAAAAAAAAAAAAAAAAAAAAAAAAGTTTATTTCATATTAGTTGTTTTTTATAGCTCCTGAGTGTCTTATTATTTTTTGTTATTTTATTTTTCTCTTTAAAATATTTTATTACCAATTCAGGGGTACATGTGCAGGTTTATTTTGTGGGTATATTGTGTATTGTTGGGGTTTGGGGCTTCTAGTGAACCCATCACCCACATAGTGAACATAGTACCCAATAGGTAGTTTTTTAACCATCATTCCTTCCCATCCTTCCCCCTTTTGGAGTCCCCAGTGTCTGTTTTTCCCATCTTTATGTCCATGTATACCCATTGTTTAGCTCCCACTTAATAAGTGAGAACATGTGGTATTTGATTTTCTGCTTCTGAGTTATTTCACTTAGGACAGTGGTCTTCAGTTCCATCAATGTTTCTGTGAAGGACATGCTTTTATACTTTTTTATGGCTTTCATTCTTTTCCATGGTGTATATGTGGCACATTTTCTGTATCCAATTGACTGTTAACAGACACTTGATTCCATGAATTTGCTATTGTAAATAGCGCAGTGATATACATATGAGTGCAAGTGTCTTTTTGATACAACTGGATTGCTGAGTTGAATGGTAGTTCCATTTTTAGTTCGTTGAAAAATCTCCATCTGTTTTCCATAGGGGTTGAACTAATTTATGTTCCCTTTTCTCTGCATCCTCACCAACATCTCTTATATTTTGACCTTTTAATAATAGCCATTCTGACTGATGTGAGATGGTATCTTATTCTGGTTTGAATATGTATTTTTCTGATGATTAGTGATGTTGATTATTTTTTCCTGTATTTGTTGGCCACTTGTATAACTTCTTTTGTGAAATGTCTGTTCATGTCCTTTGCTCATGAAAAAAATTTTTTTCTTATTGATTTGCTTAAGTTCCTTATAGATTCTAGCTATTAGTCCTTTATCAAATGCATAGTTTGCAAATATCTCCCATTCTGTAGGTTTTCTGTTTACTCTGTTGATTGTTTCTTCGGCTGTGAAGAAGTTATTTAGTTTAATTATGCCCTATTTGTCTATTTATGTTTTTGTTGCATTTACTTTTGAGATGCTAAACAAAAATTCTTTGCCTAGGCAAATGTCCAAGAGAGTTTTTCCCCTAGGTTTTCTTCTAGAATTTTCACAGTTTTCAGTAGTACATTTAAATTTTTAATAGATCTTGAGTTAATTTTTGTATATGGTGAGAGGTAGGGATCCAGTTTTATTCTTCTGCATATGGCTAGCCAGTTTTCCCAGCACCATTTATTGAATAGGTTTTGCTTTCTCCCTTGTTTATTTTTATCAATGTTATTGAAGATCAATTGGTTGTGGGTGTATGACTTTATTTATGAGTTCTTTATTCTGTTCCATTGGTCTGCGTGTCTATTTTAGTATCAGTACCATACTATTTTGATTATTCTAGCCTTATAGTATAAAGTTGGATAATGTGATGCCTCCAGGTTTTCTTTTTTGCTTAGGATTGCTTTGGCTATTTGGGCTCTTTTTAGGTTCTACGTGAGTTTTAGAATTGTTTTGTCTAATTCTGTGAAAAATGACATTGGTAATTTGATAGAAATTGCATTGAATCTGTATATTGCTTTGGGCAACACAGTTAATTAATGATATTGATTCTTCCTATCCATGAGCATGGGATATTTTCCCATGTGTTTGTGTCATCTACAGTTTCTTTCACCAGTGTTTTGTAGTTCTCCTTGTAGAGGTCTTTCACTCCTTGGTTAAATATATTACTAGGTATTTAATTTTTTGTGTGGCAATTATAAATAAAATTGAGTTTTGATTTTGTTCTCAGCTTGAGTGTTGTTAGTGTATAAAAAGGAAATCAATTTTTTGTGCATGGATTTTGTATCCTGAAACTTTGCTGAAATTGTTTTTCATGTCTAAGAGTTTTTGGGAGGAATCTTCAGGGTTTTCTAGGTACAGTGTCATTTCATCAGTGAACAGAGGTCATTTGACCTTCTTCTTTCATATTTGGATATATTTTCTTTCTTTTTTTTTCTTTTACCTCTGGATACATTTTATTTCTTGCTCTTGCCTGATTTCTCTGGCTAGGATTTCCAGTACTACATTGAATAGGAATGGTGAGAGTGGGCATCCTTATTTTGTTCTAGTTCTTAGGCGCAGTCCTCACCAGAGAAATGATGTTGGCTGTGGGTTTGTCATATATGGCTCTTATTATTTTGAGGTATGTTCCTTTGATGCCTAGTTTGTTGAGGGTGTTTATCATGAAGCGCTGTTGAGTTTTATTGAATGCTTTTTCTGCATCTATTGAGATGATTATGTGGATTTTGTGTTTAATTCTGTTTAAATGGTGAATCACATTTATTGATTTGTGTAGGTTGCACCATCCTTGCATCTCTGAAATGAAACCCATTTGATGATGGTGAATTATCTTATTGATGTGCTGCTGGATTCAGTTTGCTAGTATTTTGTTGAGGATTTTTGCATCTATGTTCATCAGAGATATTGGCCTGTAATTTGTTGTTGTTGTTCTGTCCTTTGCACATTTTCATATCAGGATGATACTGGTTTCATGGAATGAGTCAGGGAGGTATCCTCAATTTTTTTGAAAAGTTTTAGTAAAATTGGAACCAGCTCATTTTTGTTCATCTGGTAGAATTTGGCTGTGAATCCATCTGGTGCTGGGCTATTTTTGGTTTGGTAGATTTTTTATTACTGATTCAGTTTCATAACTTCTTATTGGTCTGTTCAGGATTTTAATTTCTTCCTGGTTCAGTCTTGGGAGGTTGTATGTTTCCAGGAATGTATCCATTTCCTCTTAGTTTTCTAGTTTGTGCACAGGGAGATGTTCATAGCAGTTTCTGAGGATCTTTTGTTAATTCTGTGGTATTCAATGTAATGTCACCTTTCTCATTTTTGATTGCGCTTATTGGAATTTTGTCTCTTTTTTTCTTCGGTTAACTTAGCTAGTGGCCTATCAACTTTGTTTATCCTTTCAAAGAACGAAATTTTAATTTTGTTGATCTTTCATATGGTACTCTTGGTCACAATTTCATTTAGCTCTGCTCTGATTTTAGTTATTGCTTTTCTTCGGCTAGCTTTAGGATTAGTTTGTTCTTGTTTATCTAGTTCTTTTAGGTGCAGAGTTAGGCTGTTAATTTGAAATATTTCTATCTGCTTGATGTAGGTTTATACCACTATAAACTTTCCTTTTAACTCTGCTTATGCTATATCCCAGAGATTTTGGTATGTGCTGTCTCTATTTTCATTTGTTTCAAAAAATTTTTTGATTTCTGCCTTAATTTTGTTGTTTACCTGAAAGTAATTCAGAAGGAAGTTGCTCAGTTTCCATATACTTGTGCAGTTTTTTTTTTTTTCTGAGGTGGAGTTTCGCTTTCTTTGCCCAGGCTAGAGTGTAATGATGCGAACTCGGCTCACTGGACCCTCCGTCTCCCAGGTTCAGACGATTCTCCTGCCCCAGCAGGAGCTGGGATTACAGGCACATGCCATCATGCCTGACTAATTTTGTATTTTTTTTAGTAGAGATGGGGTTTCACCATGTTGGCCAGGCTGGTCTTGAACTCCTGACCTCAGGTGATCCACCCACCTTGGCCTCCCAAAGTGCTGGGATTATAGGCACTAGCCACTGCGTGCTGCCATACTTGTGCAGTTTCCAGAGTTCCTTTTGATATTGACTTCTAATTTCATTCCACAATGGTCCAAGAAGATGCTTGATATGATTTTATTATTTCTAATAATTAATGCTTTATTATTTTTTAAATAATATATTTCTAGTTTCTAGGAAGAGCAAACTAGCAAAAGATTTGTTTATTGAATGATTGATTAATTAGATTAAAAAGTTATTAAGAAACAGAACTTACACTGAAACTTGTTTTTCAACTGAGTTAAGTTACGTTGTCCATTGTTGTCTTTCCCATTCCTCTGTATCTGGCTAGCTCAACAATATTTATTAATCTGTAGTTCTGTGTTTTTCTAATCACAACCCTGATCTTTCCACTATGTGGCTTTGGGAATAACCCACCTGAATTCTAGTTAACCGATTCCAATTTTATGTCCTTGTTCTTTTCCTTATATCACGGACTAATTGGTATTTACTTGCTGCCTTTTACTATCCTTCCAATCTGGACAAAACCCACCTGTTAGGAAACAGACAGGATACAAGCAAGAAAGAGAATGATAATGAGGCTGTGACAGAGACTCTCTTGATTGACAGAGTAAATATACTGATCATGATGTAGCTGCATTATAGCTAATATTAACTATTTTGATAAACTTTAGTTTGAGGAGATAGATGAGGTTCTGTGCTCATTCATTAAAAATGTAAGAAAACATTACCACTGGGCACAGTGGCTCATGCCTATAATCTCAGCACTTCGGGAGGCTGAGGCAACATGGCAAAACCACATCTCTACAAAAAATATAAAAAATTAGCTGGGCGTGGTGGCACATGTCTGTAGTCCCAGCTAGTTGGGAGGCTGAGGTGAGGGGATCAAGAGAGCCTGGGAGGTGTAGGTTGCAGGGAGCTGAGATTGAGCCACTCTACTCCAGCCTCTGTGACAGAGCGAGACCCTGTCTCAAATACAACAAAACAAGCAAATAAAAAAACCAGAAAAAAAACCAAAACAACATTACCCTTATCTAACTTCAAGGTTTTGAAACAAAATTTTCTAAGCATAACATGAAATAAAATTTTTATTCACAATTTAGATAAAATATAGCCATAGTTTAGTGAAGTAAGCTATTTTAGGGAAAAGAAGAGGCTTGTACCAGGTACTTAATTATTCATATATTATTAGTTTGTCTTTAGACAAAATGAAATGGACAGGTATAGCAGCTTCCTGAGGGACAAGAAGGCATTTGAATACCATATACCTAGGGGTTTGACAGGAAATTCAAGCAGCCTACGCCAGTCACTTAAAGGAAAAGCATGGATTGATGTGTGAGTACAGCATAAGGCAGAGCAATATGAAGAAAGAATTCAGAGAGTGTTCTGCTTGGAGTATAGACAGGTGGCATTTGGGGAGCTGACCCAAGATAGTGAGACCCTAGACATTGGCTTGCCATTCTTATAATAGGCTACAGTATCTGGCAGGGAATTAGTGTAATTCATGAGATCTAAGGCCGAAGCAGGCACATAGTTCCTGGAACAAGGGAGGCTTCAGTTAATGTTTACTGAATTGAATCAAATGAGAGAGAAGATGATATTATAGACTAGGGCTTGGAAATATTGAAGAGCAGTACTTCATCATGAGAACCTATAAGTTCATCTTAATTGTTTTTTCTTACTATTATGGAGAGGGATGGAGGGTTGCAGCTGTAGATGATATTTAAGTGGTGGCTAGGCACATTTGAGACAACAAATAATGTTATAATCTTGTATCCACTAGAATGGCTTAGCAAAATACACTGTACAATTGACTGAATGAATGTTTATGTCCCCCCTCCCATTCATATGTTGAAACCCTAATTCCCGGGTGATGGTATTAGGAAGTGAGGCCTTTGGAAAGGGATTAGGTCATGAGGGTATAGCCTTCATGAATAGGAATACTGCCCTTGACATAGTCATCCCAGAAAATTCCTCAACCCTTCCTTCATGTGAGGCTCCATTGGAAACAGATGTCTATGAGGAATGGTCCCTATTTAGATACTGAATCTGCTGGTACCTTGATCTTGGGCTTCTCAGCCTCCAGAACTGTGAGATGTGAGAAATAAATTTCTGTTGTTTATAAATCACTCAGTCTTTGGTATTTTGTTATAGCAACCCAAACAGACAAAGACTGAATATTCTCTGTTTCTCATTTGAAAGTTCTGAAAATAGTACTGTCTGACAGTATTATTATGAGTAGTAATGCCCAGAGATCTGGGTCTCATACTCTCTCCAATGCCTGCAAGTGGTTGGAACTGACAGTGATGCTGGTTGGGGCAATCAGGCTTGGACTGAATGCCATGTGAGTCTTGGTCACAGTAAGTTAGGGTTACCAGATTAGCAAATAAAAATACATGACACAGTTAAATTTGAATTATTTCTAATTTCCTTGCATATGTATGCTGGGATAAAATAAAAATATTGCATTGATAATACTTATATTAAAAATGTATTTGTTGTTTGTAATAAATTATAAGCATCTGATCGGGTGTGGTGGTTCACACTTATAATCCCAGCACTTTGGGAGACTGACATAGGAGAATCACTAGAGCCCAGGAGTTTGAGATGAGCCTGAGAAACATGGTGAGACCCCATCTCTACAAAAAATACAAAAATTAACTGGATATGGTGGCACATCCATAGTCCCAGCTACTCGGGAAGAAGAGAGGTGGAAGAGCACTTGAGCCTGGGAGGTCAAGGCTGCAGTAAGCTGTCATTGTGCCATTGCACTCCAGCTTGGGCGACAGCATGAGACCCTGTCTCAAAAAAAAAATTAAATAAATATAAGCATCTATATTACATAACTTGTTAATTATATTTCTATAATGATTTGGCTCTCCTTGACATTTTTTTGTTTTGCAGAGTTTGCTTATAAGTTGTTTTGCAGTTACAGTCTATCCTCCATTTACATTATAGTATAGCTTCTACAGTGTCACATTTGACCTGTTTAATTCTTTTGTCCATTGAGTATTGATTAGTGAGAAAACATGCCCAACATCTGCCTTACGAACCAGTACACTGAACATGTCCTTGCATAAAGTTAACAACTCTGAGAATTTTTTATTTCAAATTTGATTTGTTGAAGCGTATAATACCAATTTTTCATGGCATAAGTAGTTTACCCATTCTTCAGGATTATGTTACATCTCTTGCTCAATAACTTTTTAAAAATATTGTCCACTGACAAAAAAAGAGCACCATTGTCCAGTTTTATTCCCTTCTTTCTAACACTACACATAGTGATCCCACTTGTTTCTATGCTGAAAGATTATTTTGTCATATCTGTGTAAAATAACTGAATTCTTTAAGGGTTGATATTCATTTCAAAAGATAGTCATAATAAGTGTTATAAAGAATTACTTCAAGTCAGAATTTCTTTTCCTGTTAAAAAGTAAAGTAAGGGCCAGGTGCGGTAGCTCATGCCTGTAATCCCATCACTTTGGGAGGCCGAGGCGGACGGATCATGAGGTCAGGAGATCGAGACCATCCTGGCTAACACGGTGAAACCCTGTCTCCACCAAAAAATACAAAAAAATTAGCCGGGCATGGTGGCGGGCGCCTGTAGTTCCAGCTGCTAGGGAGGCTGAGGCAGGAGAATGGCGTGAACCCAGGAGGCGGAGCTTGAAGTGAGCCCAGATTGTGCCACTGCACTCCAGCCTCGGTGACAGAGTGAGATTCCGTCTCAAAAAAAAAAAAAAAAAAAAAAAGGTAAAGTAAGGCTTGCTCACTCACGGAAGTTGTTGCGTGGTTGGACTCATGTTGTGCCATGCTAGTGTGGATATAACTAAAGAACAGGTTGAATGAGGTTGGGATATTGCATATATATTTGAACAGAGGGGATGAGTGAACAAAATTAAAATGACCGTGCATGTGATTTTGGCTGTTTAGAGGGGCCAATGAGACCAGTATGAAGCTTATGGATTCTGAGACTCCAGGATTAATGGTCAAAATAAATGTGATTAACAATTCATTTATTAAGAACAAAGCATCATTTTGCATTAAGCGTCACGGGTTACTGCTACATCTCTCCATCAGATATAGTGAATTCTAATTTCCATGTCTTGGCTGTTTTACCTGGGTAGCATTCCTCAACTTACTCTTCCCAGAGAATGTAAAGCTAGAATAATTGTTACTGTTTTATGAGTTAAACTTTAATTAAATTGTATCAACAACTTTGTTTTAATTGCTTCTGAGAGACTTCGTCCCAAAAGTACTAGAAAGTTTTAAAATTCTGTCCAATCCACATTGTGAGGTTTAAATTACTTTTGGGATTAGAAGCATCCTCAAAGCAGCAAACACTTTGAGTTGCTTTGGTGCTTCATTGGCTGGTCTTTTGAAGAATCCTCTGCTAGTGAAAAGACTGCCAAGAGCCCCAGCTTTCATCATTACTAGAGCTAGTTTCTATTTTGCCAATGATTAATTGGCTTCTACAATAGCAATGGCAGCTACTTGATTTTAATGAGAACTGAGAAGCAGATAGTTCTTTTAGTTATCTTTGTGAGGTTATTGAGATGGAACTTATGAGGCTAGCAATCTGATTTTAAAAAGTAGGACTTCTGTTTTTGGCATTTAAATATAGAAATACTCCATATTACATCAAATAAGGATACAAATAATTATAGCAAATTGCTATGTTTAAGAGCTTTTTGAGTGACCTACCTCTCATTATCATGGGTATTTCCAAATATGCAGTGAGAGGAAGATCAGCAGAACAGCTGTTCGAGCAGAGGAAGCTGACTTCTCTGCAGGAAGAAGGCAATATGTATTTTCTCATACTTAGAGGTAAAAAAGCAAATCCCTCATTACTGAAATTCTTTAATTTATACATTTATTTATGGTTTGATTATAGATTGAGAAATGTACACTAGAGTTTTTCTGAGGTCAACTTTTTATCCATCGTGTATATCAGGCAGAACAATAGGGTGACCTAGAAAGATTTACTAATCTGTATTGAAAAAGACAAACAAGAATAATTTTATCTCAATTTTTTCCCTTACTATTTTATAAGTAATACTTCTTCTCTAGTCAATATTCTTAGGAGGATAGTTCAGGTATTCATATTTGTCCTAAATTAGGAATAACCAAAAGTCCTTTTTCCTAAAAATGTCTTTTCTATTTATTCTTTTAGCCCACAAGACTCTTCTGCAATTAAGATTAAATTACCATTGAAGCAGAACTTTCACATATAACTTTGTTTTAGTAACTGAAGAACAGCAATTTTGTTAGGTATAACATAGTGTGAAGAAAAATGTTTGGTTACAGATAATAATGTTGGTTAAAATGGTCAGATATCTGCTGGCTAGTAATATTTCATACATTTTCTATTTGTTCTGGATTATTTGGTCAAAATATGGTAACATTGTATTAAAATAATTTAAATTTATAATGCAAATGAGATTCATAATTCTAACTCAGTTGCATGTGTTTTTAATCTATTCTTTAACAAGAATATTCTTTTTGAGAGCTGGGGACTCCTTCATGAAGTCTGAACGTCTAACTGATCTTAACTTAGAGGGTCGTAACATATTCTTGTGCTATTTATATATCCAATTACAGGTCTTTATTACCCATAGGGAAGCCATTCAAGAATGCAAATGATTCTTACAGACACTGCTGTAAAAGATCCACACACATTCCAGCCACTACAGAATTCCTGTTGGTGAAAGAAAATATTAGCATGGGAAACTCTAATCAGTCTTTCATGACAGAATTTGTCCTGCTGGGGCTTTCTGGCTACCCAGAGCTAGAGGCCATTTACTTTGTGCTGGTCCTATGTATGTATTTGGTGATCCTGTTGGGAAATGGAGTCATCATCATTGTGAGTGTTTATGACACCCACTTGCACACCCCCATGTACTTTTTCCTCAGTAACTTATCATTCTTGGACATCTGCTACACTAGTTCATCTATTCCACTATTTCTCAGCAGCTTCTTAACGTCAAAGAAAACTATTTCCTTCTCTGGGTGTGGAGTGCAAATGTTTCTCTCTTTTGCTATGGGAGCAACAGAGTGTGTCCTTCTAAGTATGATGGCGTTTGACTGCTATGTGGCCATCTGTAACCCTCTATGATACCCTATCATCATGAGCAAGGCTTCATACATGTCCATGGCTGCGGGGTCCTGGATTGGAGGAGGCATCAATTCTGTGTTGCAAACCTCCCTTGCAATGCGGCTTCCTTTCTGTGGAGATAACGTCATTAATCATTTTACTTGTGAAATCTTGGCTGTCTTAAAATTGGCCTGTGCTAATATCTCCATAAATATTATTAGCATGGTTGTTGCTAGTATGATTTTTCTTGTAGGGCCAGTACTTTTTATTTTTGTTACATATGTTTTTATTCTCTCCACCATCCTGAGAATTCCTTCTGCAGAAGGAAGGCACAAAGCCTCCTCCACCTGCTCTGCCCACCTAACAGTGGTGATTATATTCTACAGAACCATCCTTTTCATGTATGCAAAGCCCAAGGCTAAAGACTCTTCTGGTGCAGACAAAGAACAAGTCACAGACAAAATCATCTCCCTGTTCTATGGAGTGGTGACACCTATGCTTAATCCTCTTATCTATAGTTTGAGGAACAAAGACGTGAAGGCAGCTGTGAAGAGTATACTGTGACAAAAATGCTTCTTGGAAGGAATTTAAATGCTTCTTTATTTATTTTTAAAAGTATTTTACTCTGAATGTAGGGCTAGCTCTTACCCAGAGGTTCCAAAATAAATATGAGGGTTGATGATTCCACTAATTCCCGAAATTCTCATTTTTCTCTTCCTAATATTTAAAAGAAAGAGGGAAATCCAGGACTGAGTTACCTTTTCTCTTCATGACAGAGTTAAGGAAAAGGACAGAAACTTATGGGTAAAAGGATTCTCATCCAAACCACCTTCCTTCTCATGGCTAACAGAGTTTAGTTTATTCCTTGAATGGTAAATTCTATAATCTAAGAGAAAGTACCATTTTACCAACTTAATCTTTTATCCCCTATCTACACCATTCTTGGGAAGATCAAGTAGAAAATGTCTTGCTAAAAATCAGAATGCTATATGATTTCAACAGTTAATAATTCAGAATGAAGTAGATTTGATCATGTAGAAGTAAAGGGGGAACACTGTAAGGTATTAGGTACCTAGCCTGTATATATGTAATAGAGGGAGAAATGGAAAAATGAAGCTATTTTTCCTAGGGATGATTTCCTTGTGGCTGCAAACTGGCAAGCCATCTTTTGTGCAGAGGTGTCTAAGGCAATGTGAGACTTTGTGCAGCTAACCCAGATGATGGGGAAATATGGCCTGCCTTGTGTTTCAATAGATGAGCAATGATGTCTTTGAGTGAAAAACATTACTGTTAAATGATTCAAAAAATTTACTTTATTTCTACATAACTTTATAGCATAGTTCTCTGAGAACGCAGTGATAATGGGTTTACTGTTGTAAGAATTAGGTATTTTTGCAATTACATGAATTTCCTGTGGAAAATGAGCATTCCATTCATTCATTCAGTCATTTATTACTCATTTACTTATTCAAGCAACCAGTATTTACTGAATACCTATTTTTGTCTCAGGCATTGTGCTAAGTATTGGTGATATAAAAAATATAAGACAACCTGGAAATGAAAATGAAGACATGGTTAGGGAGCACAGTCTTGTGGAATACAGATTGACGCATACATTGTAGACAAAAATACTAAAGAATACTTATTTATGGCTTTTCCTTCTCTCCTACCTTCTAAGCTGGACTCTTTGTTGGGTCTTTGTTGGACTGAGCAGAATAATGGTTGGATTTTTAATAATTTAAATAAGCTGATTGTCATATGAAAGGGCTTGAACCATCTCTAGAAAAGAAATAACATAGTGAGAAAGAACCCAGTGCATACTGGAGATTTTAAAGATAGAAGGGAAGATATTTACACTGATACAGCAAAAATAGGATTAGAGGAAAAGGAAAAATTAGCTACATGGGATTTTGGGAAAGCTTTGATGCTGGTTTTATGTGACCTTACCTCAGTGTGTCTTGATAATCTCAATAAAGATGTACAACGTTCTTTAAGACATTTGGTTATGGATTTAGTTTCTTTTGCAGTTTCACCATGCTGAGACTGGCCATAGGATGAGGGTAACTTAAGTGGGTCACAGACTTAGTTGGGTCACAATTACAGTGCTGTATGTTAAATGCGTTTATAGCAGAATATATGTAAATCCCTTGAAGGGGAAGTCCCAGGAAGGGAAAGGCACTTCTGCTTGGATAAACTAGGAAGAGCAGTTCTCCTACTGGTATTGTAAGCAAGAATTTTCTAGACAGATGAAACAGTGCCAAGATGTGGAATACTACTAAGAGTTTGGAATGGTTGGAACTTGGGTTTTACTGTTGGGGCAGTGACAGAGAAGACTGGAAAGGTAGTTTGGAGCCAAACTGTCAGGGCTTCAGATGCTAATCTAAGTCAATACCTCTATAGGTTTGAGGTGATGACCCTCTGTTCTCTGGAGTCCAGGAGGCTGAATCAGGGCTACCACATACATGAGCAAATTCTGAGAAGTCAGATCTATGATACCCCCAACCTCCTACCTGTCCCTACTTTTGTCTGTTTTATATTCCCTAAGGTTCCACATAATATTTTATTTGGAAAATGAGTATTCTGTTGTGAGGAAAAGTTTTTAAATCACTGCAGTGACAACAGAATCTACAAACAGTTATAAGAAAGAAACTGATGTTTTTGGGTTGGTGCTTTAGAAAGCTCACTTTGGCACTGGGGATAATAAAGTTGTAAATCTCTTGCCGACAAATCCTCAGTCAGGCCCGTTTTACATTCCTTCATCAGCCTCTAGCACTTACCTTGTCTTATTTCTTATAGGCTTCAGGGTACTGAGTACCTATCCAATTTCTTAGAGTTTCCATTCTATTCTTGACTGTTTGCAAATAGACTTGAATTTCTCAAATAACTTTCCTGACCCTTTGGTTTAAAATTTTTACTTTAATTGAGGAAACAGTGAAGAAACAACAAAATAACATGAATGAGAGCATTACACAGATTTAGGATCCACACATATTCCTGCCCTTATTAGAGAAAAACATAGTATCCTAGACATTGTGAATGTCATATTGAAGCCATCCTAATAAAATTGATAAAACTAAATTGCTAAGTTTAACAAAAGCATAAGCTTTAAGTAGAAACATAGCAAAGCATTAACCAGACTGCTCTATGGCCCACTTCTGTACAGCTGATTACTACTTAAAAGTCACATAGCCCCTGCCATAAGGTCCTAACTTCTGTAGATAACATCTTTAATGTTAAGAAATGTCAAGTTTTCCATTTTGAGATATTTTCCAGATCCTGCATTCCAATGGGTCCATCGATGCCAGCCAGTCTGAAGACCCTCTCTGAGGAAGTAATTCAGCCCCAAAATGTAGTTTTTACATCTTTATTAAAGATTGCATTCCACACACCCTAAGCAATTAGCTCCTCAGCCCCCTATTTGCCAAAATTCCCTAAAAATTCTAGGCCAAAACTCCTTGGTGAGGTGGATTTAAGGTTCCTTTCCACTTTCTTATTTGGCTACCATACAATCATTATACTCTTTCTCTGCTGCAACTCCCACTGTTTCGGTGCATTGGTCTGTTACCCATATGACAGGCAAACCTGGTTGTCCTAGAACAATATTGTGGAGGCTCTGAATACCATTACATTCCTCTAAATGGTTTTGATGTTTTTGCTTTAGGGGCAATCAGGTTGGACTCCAACTACAAACTTGATCTTTTTGTTACCAATACACATCTCAGTTCAAGATCTCTATCTCTATCTCTATATCTATATTTATGTTTTTACAGTCAGCCCTCCATGCTTATGGGTTTCACGTAACTTGGATTCAACAAATTTGGATCAAAAATATTCAGGCAAAAGCCAATAGAAATAACAATATAATATGAATTAAAAATACAGCTTAACAGGTGTTTACATAGCATTTACATAGTAGTAGGTATTATAAGTAACCTAGAGATGATTCAAAGTATATGAGAAAATGAGTGTGGATTCTGTGCAAATACTTTGCCATCTTATATAAGGAACTTGAACATCCATGGATTTGGGTATCCATGGGAGTCCTGGAATCCATCCCTCACAGATACCAAGGGATCCCTGTATATATACATATTGGTATTTAGCTGGATTGTGCCTTTATGGTGCAGGGGTCAATCAGAGAACTGGGGCAAGTTTTTACACAGAATTTGATGTTTCCTCTGCTGGGAATCTGCGTTCTGGAATTCCTCCCTTACTTTATGGTGGCTGTTTCTCCAGAATTCTGCTGGTTTGTCCATAAAGAGCCATTTTATTATCAGAATTTCCAAACCTATGCTGTGCCTAGTCAGTCTATAGCCATAAAAATGTGAAACTCACACCAAAATGTTACTTCTTCTAAGTGATACTCTTAAAAAATTTTGCAGAGAGTTTGTAGTTGTCATTTCTGAGGTGCTTGGGTCTGATAGGAGCTTATTCAGCCAAAGTGACAGCAACAGAAATCGGAAGTCCTCCCCTTTACATTTTATGACTAGAGTGTACCTCTCTCTTTCTCTGTGTTGGCTTCCATGCTGATCCGACCTATATGATTTCCTAATACACCTCAAAATCAAAGTAGACTGATATTTCCAATGGAGAATATGAGACAATGAATAAAAAATTTGAAATCCCCCTGAGGCCAGAGGTGAGCATATCATAAGTGTTAAATAGCATGGAATAATTCAATAGATTTGAGTGTTTTATTAGCCCATTAAAGGTTAAATGAGGCATTATGTGAAAGCAGATGGCTCATGGGAGGGTCTCGTTATATTTTATTTTCATCCTCTAAATAAAAATCTAGCCTTTTAGTCTCTTTCCACCCTTAGTTCACCTGTAGCCCATTCCTTCCTTGAGCAGGCAAAATGAAAACTGACCCTCAGAGTTCATCTCCTTTAGCAGTCCTCTTTGATCACTTCCTGCTAATGCTCCCTCCTCTCTGTGCCTTATTCAAACCACCAGGAATTTATGATTAACTACTTTATTTCCAGAACTCAGAGGACAAATGAGAAAGATAAGGGGGGAGATGAGAAGTCATATTTAAATAATGCATAATATTACCATAAAATGTGTTAGGTAACTAGGTAATTTACATATTATCTTTTAAGTTCTTATTCATTAATTAATGCTGGTGGCAAGTGCAACAAATAATTGTCTCTCATTGCCTCATTCAGATACAGACACCAGAATCCTTGCTTAATGTCCTTAATTTCAAGAATCAGAGAGCAAATGAGAAAAACAATGGATGGGTTAGGCAATATTACTTAATTAATGCGTTACATATACCATGTGGTGTACTAGCTGTCATATGTAAATTGTCTTTTAAAAATTGTTTTCATTAAGTAATGCCTATAAATAATGTAATATGTGTGTTGCCTTCATTTTTATGTTGATTACTGCTCTCATGTATTCAGCACTGTGTAAGTGCATGTTAGGGGCTGGGGATTCAATTCTGGATATGATATTTTCTCTGCATTCTGGGATTAGCTCCAGATGGCTCTATAAGGTGGATAAGAAAATTTAGGCTTATATAAAAGTCACACAGGTCGTAAATTGCAGCCACCGTTTAAGTCTGTTGTTTATCTATATTTCCTATATTAATTTCAGAGTCAGTTTGAGGAATAAATTAAATACAAGGAAGTATTTCAGGAGGACAAGAGGAACTGTGAGACATTCTTAAAAAATTATTATAAAAAAGGTTATTTTGCCTATTAATGATGCTGATATTTCTCTGAAGGAGAATTGCAATTTTGATTCTGAATTTTAGAGACAGGGTCTTGCTCTGTCTCTTAGGCTGGAATGCAATGGTGTGATCATATCTCACTGCAGCCTGGAATTCCTGGGCTTAAGCAATATTCCCCTCAAACCCCCAATTCGGCCTTCTGAGTAGCTAGTACCAGAGGTACATGTCACCTTGCCCAGGCTAATTTTCAGTTTTTTTTTTCCTTTTCTTTTCTTTTCTTTTTTTAATGTAAAGATGAGGTCTTGCTATGTTCCGCAGGCAGTCAGCCAACTCTTGAGCTCAAGCCATCCTCCTGTCTTGGCCTCCCAAAGTGCTGGGTGATTCTGAATTTGGATTTTGAATCAGTCTTTTCATCTGTGCTACAAATTGAATTTCCTCTGTGGCAAAACCAAAAATAAACAAAAAACAACTTTTATTTTCCAAGGTGTGTTGACCGTGTTCTAGAAATCACCACCGTATATATAAAATTACTTAAAAATTTACTCTTACAATCTGAGTTTATAGTGCAGAATTGGGATAGGAATATACAATTAGAGGGGCGATGCTATCTTAAGAAACATCACCATATATTACAACTCAAAAATCATTCCAAGTGGAAATTGTTATGCAAGAAAAACATTATGAATAAGATCATATATTGCTTTTGAAACAGAGAGAATTGCCAATATTCTCCAAGTAGACTTTAGTCAACTAATATATTTTCTCTTTAACTTAATATTAGAGATAAATGTTGATGTGAATATTTGCTTTACTCAGACCTAATGACCTCTTTAGTGTATTTTATTAAATTCTTTTACTTCCTTTTCTCTTTTTTAGGCTTAAAGATTAGCTGCTTTTCCCCTCCTCTGCCAAAGCATTTGACATTTTTGTTTGGGAATTTAAAAATCTAAATAAATCTTACTCTTTTTTTTAAATAATTTTTTTTGGGGTTTGAGGTTTACAACATGATGTTTTGGGATATATATATAGATGGTAAATGGTTACTATAGTGAAGCTGATTAATAAACCATCTTGCATAGTTACTATTTTGTGTGACAAGAACAGATACAATCTACTTATTTAAACAAAAAACCCCAATACAATGAATTTTATTAACTTCAGTACTCACATTGTATGTCTAGAATTGCTCATCTTACATATCTGCTATTTTGTATCCTTTGATCTTCATCTCCCCAATTCTTTTCCATCCCATCTCCTCCCACCTGTGGTTACCAATGTTCCATTCTCCATCTCTGTGTATATGACCTTTCTTTCAAAAAAAAATTCCACAAATGAATAAGATCCTGCAATATTTTTCTATGTCTGGCTTACTGTAATGTCCTTCAGGTCCCTCCATGTTGTGGCAAATGACAGAATCTCTCTCTCTCTCTCTCTTTTTTTAAAAGGCTGAATAATATTTCATTGTGGATAGACATCACATTTTCTTTACCCATCAGTGGGCATTTAGGCTGTTTCTGTATCTTGACTATTGTGAATAATGCTGCAATGAACACAGTAGTACAGATATCTACCAGGTGGCGATTTTATTTCCTTTGGGTATGGACCCAGAAGAGGGATTGCAGGGTCATATGGTAGTTCTATTTTTAATTTCTTTAGAACCTCCACAGTGTTTTCCATAATGGCTATACCAGTCTACATTCCTACCAACAGTGAACTAGGGTTCCCTTTTGTCCACACCCTTGCCAACATTTGTTATCTCTTATCTTTTGATAATAGCCAATCACACAGATGTGAGGTGATATCTCATGGTGTTTTAATTTGCATTTCCTTTATAATTAGTAGTGTTGAACACATTTTCATATACCTATTGGCCATTTTTATGTCTTTAAAAAATGTCTAAGTTCCTTCCCCATTTTAAAATCAGGTTATTCATTTTTCTGCCATTGAGTTGCAACAGTTCCTTATAAATTTTGGATGTTAACCCCTTATCAATTGCAATTATTTTTGCCAGTCAGTAGGTTGCCTTTCGTTTTGCTGATTGTTTCCTTTTCTATAAAAATGTGTTTTTTGTTAGATTTAATATCACTTATTTATTTTTATTTTTGCAGTAAGAACTTTTGGTATGATATACAAAAACTCATTGCCAAGACCAATGTTGAGGAGCTTTTCCCTATGTTCTTTTCTAGGTATTTTATGATTTCAGGTCTTACATTTAGGTATTTTATTCATTTTGAGTTGAATTTTGTGTGTGGTGTAAGAGTCCGATTTCATTCTTTTGCCCGTAGAAATCCAGTTTTCTCAGCACCATTTGTTGAAAAACTACCCAATCCTTGTTGTGTCCTCTTGGTACCCTTGTTAAAAATTAGTTGACATACGTGTTTGGATTTAGTTCTGGGAACTCTGTTTTATTCAATTGATCTTTCTTTCTGTTTGTATGCAAGTACCATATGGTTTTGATTACTATAGCTTTGTAATACATTTTAAATCAGGAACTGTGATGCCTCTAACCTGCTTTTTTCCCCTCAGTATTGCTTTGGCTGTGTGTGTGTGGGTGTGTGCACGCATGTGTGTGTGCTTGTGTGTGTGGTTCCATATTATAACAGGAGTTAAAACAATTGTTTCTGAAGAATGCCATTGGAATTTTGATTGAAATTGTGTTAAATCTATATATTGCTTTGGGTAGTATGGACATTTTAAAAATATTAATCTGTTCCATCTATGAATGTGGGGTATCTTTCCATTTACTTGTGTCTTCTTTGATTACTTTCATCAATGTTTTACAGTATTTAGTATAAAATTATTTTACCTCCTTTGTTAAATTTATTTCTCAATTTTTGTATACTGTCATAAATAATATGATTTTCTTGATTTTTTTTCAGTTAGATTGTTATTTGTGTATAGAAATGCTACTGATTTTTTATGTTATTTTTGTACTTTGTAACTGTTGAATTCATTTATTAGTTCTAACACTTTTTGTGGTAGAATCTTTGGGGTTCTAGTTAGTTCTAGCTAGATTAACTTCTGACATATGGAATTAGGTCATCTGCAAATAGAGATAATTTTACTTGTTTCTTTTTATTTGGATACCTTTTATTTTTTTTCTTGTCTGACTGTACTTGCTAGTACTAATGGTGCTATAATGAATAGAAATGGTGAAAGTGAATATCTCTGCCTTTTACCAGATCTTAGCAGAAAAGCTTTCAGTTGTGCCCCATTGATTATGATGTTAGATGTAGTTTTTTTTTATAAGTGGCTTTTATTATGTTGAAGATCTTTCCTTCTGTACTAAACTGTGAAGGATTTTTATCAAGAAAGGATGACGAATATTGTCAAATGCTTTTTCCATGTCAGTTGAGATGATCATATGGTTTTTATCTTTTATTCTGTTAATGTGATGTATCACTTTGATTGATTTGCATATGTTAAACCAGACTTGAATGCCAACGAAAAGTCCTACTTGGTCATGATGCATAATCTTTCTGATGTGTTGTTGAATTTGGTTTGCTAATATTTTATGGAGGATTTTTGCACTGATGTTCATCAGAGGTATTGGCCTATAGTTGTCTTTTCTTGCAGTGTCCTTGTGTGGCATATATATCAGGGTGATGCTGGTCTTGTAAAATATTTTTGGAAGTATTCCCTCTAGCTCTATTTAATGAAGGTTTAAGAAGTATTGGTAGTAATTATTTGAATATGTGGTAGAATTCAACCATGAAATCTTCCTGCTTTTCTTTATTGGGAGGATTTAAATGATTTTCAATTCCTTTATTTGTTATTTGTCTGTTCAAGCTTTCTATTTCTTCCTGACTCAATCTTGGAATGTTATATTTTTCTAGAAATGTATGTATCAATTTCCTTTAGGTTGTTAAATTTGTTGGTATATAATTGTTTATAATAGTTTCTTATGATTTTTTTCATTTCTGAGGCACCTGTTGTAATGTTTTCACTCACGTTTCATTTCATTTAAGTCTTTCCTGTATTTCTTAGTCTAGCTAGAGGTTTGTCAATTTTGTTCAATTTTTCAAATAATCAAATTTTTGTTCTATTGACTTTCATATGTTTTTTCTGTTTTCCATTTGATTTATTTCTGTTCTGACTTTTACTATTTCCTTCCTTCTGTCAATTTTGGGTTTACTTTGTTGTTCTTTTTCTAGCTCCTTGAGATATAATGCTAGGCTATTTATTTGGGATCTTTCTTCATTTTTGAATAAATGCCTACATTAAGTAGACATTTATGGCTATAAACATTCCTTTTAGAACTGCTTTTGCTGCATCCCATAGATTTGGTATGTTGTGTTTCTATTGTCATATGTCTAGGATATATTTTATATATCTCTTTCTATATCTATCTATCTATCTCTATATCTATCTGAGACACATGACAATGGAAACGCAACATACCAAATATATTTATATGTATATATGCATGTGTTTATACATACACGCATATACATATGTATGTATAGATATATGTACATACACATATGTACATATGTATATATACATGTGCATACATGTACATGTGTATATATACCCACATGTATAGATGTATATGTATGTGTATATATGTATATGTATATATGTACATATGTGTATATATACACATACATATATATATGTATATGTATGTGTATATATATTTGAAACAGGATCTTGCTCTGTCACCCAGACTGGAGTGCAGTGCTGTGATCACAGCTCACTGCAGCCTAGACCTCCCAGCCTCAAGTGACCCTCTCACTTCAGCCTCCCAAGTAGTTGGGGCTATAGGCATGTGCCACCACATCTGGCTAATGTTTTTCACTTTTGTAGAGATGGGTTTTCCTTTGTTGCCTAGGCTGTAAGTTATTTTTAAAATTTTCTTTTTGATTTCTTCTTTGATCCAGTAGTTGTTCCAGAACATGTTGTTTAATTTACACATATTAGTAAAATTTTTAAGGTTCCTCCTATTATTTATTTCTAGTTTCATACTATTGTGATCAGGAAAAAATTCTAGATATGATTTTAATTTTTCTGAATTTGTTAAGATTTGTTTTGTGGCCTAACACATGGTATATTCTGGAGAATGTTCCATACACACTAGAAAAAAAGGTATATTCTGGTGCTGTTGGATGAAAAGTTCTATATATATTTGTTAGGTCCATTTGGTCAAAGTGTAGCTGAAATCCAGTATTTCCTTGTTAACTTTCTGTTTGGTTGGTCTGTTTATTGTTGAAAGAAGAGTAATGAAGTCTCTTGCTATTATTGTTTGGCTATTTCTTTGTTCTTGTTCATTAATATTTGTTTATAACTTTAGGTGCTTCAATGTTGGGTGCATATCTACTTATAATTGTTATGGTTACTATTTCCATGGAATATCTTCTTCCATCCCTTTACTTTTCAGTCTACATGTGCCCTTAAAACTAAAATGGTTCTCTTATAAGGAGCATATAGTTGGATCTTTTTTAAAACCCATTCAGCCACCTGTCTTTTGATTAGAGAATTTAATCCATTTATATTCAAGGTTGTTATTGATAGGTAAGAACCTACTCCTGCCATTCTGTTTATCATTTTCTGATCATTTTATAGATTCTTTGTTTCTTTTTCCCTCTCTTGTTGCTTACCTTTGTGCTTTAGTAATTTTCAGGAGTGCTAAGCTTTGATTTTTTTCTCTTTCTTATTGTATATCTGCTATTATTTTTTGCTTCTTGGTTACTATGAGGCTTACATTTAAAAATCTTGTTGTTGTAATAGATTATTTTAAGCTGGTAACAACGGAACTTTGGTCACACACAAATATTCCAGACTTTTGCCCTCTCCCAATAATTTATATTTTCATTGCTGCAATTTTTATCTTTTTACATTTTCTATTCTTTTTTTTTTTTTTTCCCAAAATGGAGCCTTGCTCTGTTGCCCAGGCTGGAGTGCAGTGGTGTGATCTCAGCTCACCGCAACCTCTGCCTCCCGGGTTCAAGCAATTCTCCTGCCTCAGCCTCCCAAGTAGCAGGGATTACAGGTGTCTGCCACCACACCCAGCTAATTTTTGTATTTTTAGTGGAGAGGGTTTTCACCCCATCATTCTCAGCAAACTATCACAAGGACAAAAAACCAAACACCGCATGTTCTCACTCAGGTGGGAATTGAATAATGAGAACACATGGACACAGGAAGGGGAACATCAGACACTGGGGCCTGTTGTGGGGTGGGGGGAGGGGGTAGGGATAGCATTTGGAGATATACCTAATGTTAAATGATGAGCTACTGGGTGCAGCACACCAACATGACACATGTATACATATGTAACTAACCTGCATGTTGTGCACATGTACCCTAAAACTTAAAGTATAATTAAAAAAAAAAAAAGAGGGGTTTCACCATGTTGGCCAGGCTGGTCTCAAACCCTTGACCTCATGATACGCCTGTCTCGGCCTCTCAAAGTGCTGGGATTAGAGGCGTGAGCCACGGTGCCCGGCCTACATTTTCTATTCTTTAACAACCTATTGTTGCTATAGTTATTTTAGACCATACTGACTTTTAACTTTCGTACTAGATATTTGAAAGATTTATACATCACCATTACAGTAATGCAGTATTCTGAATTTGATTATGAATTTATCTCTACCAGTGAGTTTTATACTTTCATATGTTTTCATGACAGTGATTATTGTCCTTTCACTTCCAGTTGGAGCACTTTCTTAAGCATTTCTTGTAAGGCTGGTATAGTAGTGAAAAATGCCTTTCATTTTTGCATGTTGGGAAAATATTTTTTCATTTTTTAAAAATTTTATTTAATTTTTTGTTTTTATGGATACATGATAATTGTATGTACTTATGGGTTTATGTAATCTTTTGATACAAATGCACAGTATAGATCAAATCTAGGTAACTGGGATACTCAACATCAAATATTCATTAAATCTTTGTATTGGGAATATTGGAAATCTATTCTAGTTATTGTGTGATATATACAATAAATTATTGTTAATTATAGTTGCCATATTGTGCTACCAAGCACTAGATTTTATTCCTTCTATCATACTGTATTTTTTTTTTTTTTTTTTGAGACCGAGTCTTCCTCTGTCACCAGGCTGGAGTGCAGCAGCACGATCTCGGCTCACTGCAACCTCCAACTCGCTGGTTCAAGCGATTCTCCTGTCTCAGCCTCTGGAGTAGCTGAGATTACGGGCATGCACCACTATGCCCAGCTAATTTTTAGTAGAGACGGGGTTTCACCATGTTGGCCAGGATGGTCTCGATCACCTAACCTCGTGATCTGCCTGCCTCAGCTTCCCAAAGTGCTGGGATTACAGGTGTGAACCACCATGCCTGGCCCCATACTGTATTTTTATACAGTTATTAAGCAAATTTGTTTCATTTCCCCTCCCCAGCCTCTGGTAACTACCATTCTATTCATACAACATCTTTCTTTCTGTGTCTTATTTTACTGAACATAAGGTCCTCCAATTCTATCCATTTTGCTGCAAGTGACATAATTTCATTTATAGCAGAGTAATATTTCATCGTGTATATACCACATTTTCTTTTTTTTAAACTTTTATTCTAATTTCAGGGGTACCTGTACAAGTTTGTTATATAGGTAAACTTGTGTCATGGGAGTTTGTAGTACAGATTATTAGGTCACTCAGGCATTAAGCCTAGTACCCATAGTTATTTTTCCTGATCCTCTCCGTGTACCCCTACCCTCCACCCTCCAATAGGCTCCAGTGTATGTTGTTTCTCTCTGTATGTCCATGTGTTCTCATCATTTAGCTCCCACTTATGAAGAACATGTGGTATTCAGTTTTCTATTCCAGCATTAGTTTGATAAGGATAATGGCCTCCAGCTCCATCCATGTTCTTGCAAAGGACATGACCTCATTCATTTTTAGGGTGGCATAGTATTCCGTGGCGTATATGTACCACATTTTCATTATCCAGTCTATAAGTGATGAACATTTAGGTTGATTCCATGTCTTTGCTATTGTGAATAGTGCTGCAATGAACATACATGTGCAAGTGTTTTTATAATAGAACAATTTATATTCCTTCAAATATATACCCAGTAATGGGTTGCTGGGTTGAATGGTATTTCTGTCTTTACATCTTGGAGGAATCACCACACTATCTTCCACAATGGTTGAACTAATTTACACTCCAACCAACAGTGTATAAACATTCCTTTTTCTCTACAACCTCACCAGCATCTGTTATTTTTTGACTTTTTATTAGTAGCCATTCTGACTGGTGTGGGATGGTACCTCATTGTGATTTTGATTTGTATTTCTCCAATAATCAGTGATGTTGAGCATCTTTTTCATGATTGTTGGCCATATGTATATATTCTTTTGAAAAGTGTCTGTTCATGTCCTTTGTCCACTTTTTCATGGGGTTTTTTCTTTTTTCTCGTAAATTTAAGTTTCTTATAGATACTAGATATTAGACCTTTGTCAGTTGCATAGTTTGCAAAAATTTTCTCCCATTCTGCAGGCTGTCTGTTCACTCTGTTTATATATACATATATAATATATATATAATTTTATTATGTATATAATTTTATATATGTTTATATATATAATTTTGTTTTGCTGTGCAGTAGCTCTTTAGTTTAATTAGATCCCATTTGTCAATTTTTGCTTGTGTTGCAATTGCTTTTGGCATCTTTGTAACGAAATCTTTGCCTGTGCCTGTGGCCTGTGTCCTGAATAGTATTGTCTAGGTTTTCTTCCAGAGCTTTTATAGTTTCGTGCTTTACATTTAAGTCTCTAATCCATCTTGAGTTAATTTTTTGTATATGATATAAGAAAGGGGTCCAGTTTCAATCTTCTGCATATGGCTCGCTGGTTATCCCAACACCATTTATTGAATAGTGAATCTTTTCCCCATTGCTTGTTTTTGTCAGGTTTGTTGAAGATCAGATAGCTATAGGTGTGCAGCCTCATTTCTGGGCTCCCTCTTCTGTTCCATTGGTCTATAGGTCTGTTTTCATACCCTTACCATGCTGTTTTCGTTGCTATAGCCCGGTAGTATAGTCTGAAGTCAGGTAGTACAATGCCTTCAGCTTTGTTATTTTTGCTTAGGATTGCCTTGGCTATTCAGGCTCTTTTTTGGTTCCATATGAACTTTAAAGTAGTTTTTTTTTTTTTTCAGTTCTGTGAAGAATCTCAATGGTAGTTTAACAGGAATAGCATTGAATCTATAAATTACTTTGGGCAATATGGCCATTTTATGATATTGATTCTTCCTATTCATGAACATGGAGTGTTTTCCCATTTGTTTGTGTCTTCTCTGATTTCTTTGAGCAGTGTTTTGTAATTCTTCTTATAGAGATCTTTAACCTTCCTGGTTAGATGTATTCTTAGGTATTTTATTCTTTTTTTGGCATTTGTGAATGGGAATGAGTCCTGATTTGGCTTTGGCTTGACTGGAATTGGTGTGTACGAATGTTAGTGATATTTACACATTGATTTTGTATCTTGAGACTTTGCTGAAGTTGTTTATCAGCTTAAGAATGTTTTGGGTTGAGACTATGGGGTTTTCTAGATATAGAATCATGTTGTCTGCAAACAGGGATAGTTTTGTGTCTGGAATTGGTTCCTTCTGGTGGGTTCTTGGTCTCACTGACTTCAAGAATAAAGCTGCAGACCCTCGTGGTGAGTGTTACAGTTTTTAAAGATGGTGTGTCCGGAGTTTGTTCCTTCTGATGTTCAGATATGTCTGGAGTTTTTTCCTTCTGGACCCTCGTGGTGAGGGTTACAGTTCTTAAAGATGGTGTGTCCGGAGTTTGTTCCTTCTGATGTTCAGATGTGTCTGGAGTTTCTTCCTTCTGGTGGGTTTGTGGTCTTGCTGACTTCAGGAGTGAAGCCACAGACCTTCACAGTGAGAGTTACAGCTCATAAAAGGTAGTGTGAACCCAAAGAGTGAGCAGCAGCAAGATTTATTGTGAAGAGCGAAAGAACAAAGCTTCCACAGAGCGGAAGGGAGCCCCAGCGGGTTGCCGCTGCTGGCTGGGGTAGCCAGCTTTTATTCCCTTATTTGGCCCCACCCACATCCTGCCGATTGGTCCATTTTACAGAGCGCTGATTGGTCCATTTTACAGAGTGCTGATTGGTCCTTTTCTAGAATGCTAATTGGTGCATTTACAAACCTTTAGCTAGACACCGAGTGCTGACTGGTGGGTTTTTACAGAGTGCTGATTGGTGCGTTTACAAACCTTTAGCTAGACACAAAAGTTCTCAAAGTCCCCACCCGACCCAGAAGCCCAGCTGGCTTCACCTCTCAGTTTGACTTCCTCTTTTCCTATTTGGATACCCTTTATTTATTTCTCTTGCTTGATTGCCCTGGCCGGCCAGGACTTCCAGTACTATGTTGAATAGGAGTGGTGAGGGAGGGCATGCTTGTATTGTGCTGGTTTTCAAGGGGAATGCTTCCAGCTTTTGCTCATTCAGTATAATGTTGGCCGTGGGTTTGTCATAGACAGCTCTTATTATTTTGAGGTGTGTTCCTTCAATACCTAGTTTATTGAGAGTTTTTAATGTGAAGGGGTGTCAAATTCATTTATGTGATGAATCACATTTATTTATTTGCATGTGTCAAACCAACCTTGCATCCTAGGGATAAAGCCTAGTTGATTGTGGTGGATAAGCTTTTTGATGTGCTGCTGGATTTGGTATGCAAGTATTTTGTTGAGGATGTGTACATTGATGTTCATCAAGGGTATTGACCCGAAGTTTTCTTTTTTTGTTGTGTCTCTGCCAGGTTTTGCTATCAGGATGATGCTGGCCTCTTAGAATGAGTTATGGAGGTGTCCATCCTCCTCAATTTTTTGGAATAGTTTCAGCAGGAATGGTACCAGCTATTCTTTGTACATCTTGTAGAATTCAGCTCTAAGTCTGTTTGGTCCTGGGCTTTTTTTATGTTGGTAGACTATTTCTGACTCAATTTCAGAGCTTATTATTGGTCTGTTCAGGGATTCAATTTCTTCCTGGTTCAGTCTTCAGAGGGTGTATGTGTCTAGGAATGTATCCATTTCTTCTAGATTTTCTAGTTTGTGTGCAGAAAGTGTTCATAATATTCTCTAATGGTTGTTTGTATTTCTGTGGGGCCAGTGTATACTACAGTTTCTTATCCATTAATTTATCAATGAACACGTAGGTTGAGTCCGTATCTTGGCTATTGCGATTGGTACTGCAATAAACGTGGGAGTGCAGATTTTTTTTCAGTATGTTGATTTCCTTTATTTTGGATATATACCTGATATATATCCAGGTATGGAATTGCTGAATCATATAGAAGCTCCATTTTTATTTGTTTGAGGAGCCTTCATACTGTTTTCCATAATGGCTGTACTACTTTACATTCTCACAAACAGTATACAAGAGATCCTCTTTCTCTGCAGCCTTGTCAGCATGTATTGTTTTTGTCTTTTGATGACAGCCATTTTAACTGGAATAATTTTTTATCGTGTCTTTAATTTGCATTCCCGTGATGATTAGTGAGGTTGAGCATTTTTTCATATACCTGATGGCCATGTGTATATCTTTTGAAAAATGCCTATTCAGATAAAATGAGTTGACTGTAAATGTGTGATTTATGGGTTCTCTGTTCTGTTCCATTGGTCTTCATGTCTGTTTTTATGCCAGTACCATGCTGTTTTGGTTACTATAACTTTGTAATATAATTTGAAATCAGGTAGAGTGATGCCTATGGCTTTGTTCTTTTGCTCAGGGTTGCTTTGATCATTCTAGTTCTTTTGTAGTTCCATGTGAAGCTTAGGATTGTTTCTTCTATTTCTTTGAAGAATGACATTGGTATTTTGATAGGAATTGCATCTGTAGATGATTTTGTGTAGTATGAAGATTTTAACAATATTGATTCTTCCAATCCATGAATATGAAATATTTTTCTATTTTTTGTGTCCTCTTCAATTTCTTCTATCAATGTTTTATAGTTTTCATTATAGAGCTATTTTACTTCTTTAAGTTTATCCCTATATATTTTATATATTTTGCAGCTATTGTAAATAGGATTGCGTTCTTAATTTATTTTTCAGATTTTTCACTGCTGGCATATGGAAATTTTACTGATTTTTTTCATGTTAATTTTGTATTCTGAAACTTTACTGAATTTGTTTATCAGTTGTAAGAATTTCTTGATAACATCTTTAGGTTTTTCTAAATATAAGATTATGTCATCTGCTAAGAAGGAAACTTTGACTTATTCCTTTCCTATTTTGTTGCTCTCTATTTGTTTCCCATGTCTAATTGCTCTGGATAGGACTTCTAGTACCATGTTAAATGAAATTGGTGAAAGTGGGCATCTTTATCTTGTTTCAGACCTTACAGGGAAAGCTTTCAGTTTGTCCTCATTCGACATAATACTAGCTGTGGATCTGTTGTATATGACTCTTTTGAGAGATTTTGTTATTAAGGAATGTAAAATTTTATCAAATGATTTTTGGCATCAATTAACATAATCACAGTTTTTTGTCCTTCATTCTGTTCATATGAGGCATCACATTTATTGAATTGCATACATGTATTACAGATCTGAATGTGTATATCTCTACCGAGACTCAGTTTTTAGCAATTATTTTGTTAAATAACCTTTCTGTGCCTTTCTCAATTTCTTCTCATAATGCAGTATTTGTTTGCTTAATGGCGCTCCATAGTCCCATAAGGAGGATTTTTTTTTTTTTTTTTTTTTTTTTGAGACGGAGTCTCGCTCTGTCGCCCAGGCTGGAGTGCAGTGGCGGGATCTCGGCTCACTGCAAGCTCCGCCTCCCGGGTTCACGCCATTCTCCTGCCTCAGCCTCCCAAGTAGCTGGGACTACAGGCGCCCGCCACTACGCCCGGCTAATTTTTTGTATTTTTAGTAGAGACGGGGTTTCACCGTTTTAGCCGGGATGGTCTCGATCTCCTGACCTCGTGATCCGCCCGCCTCGGCCTCCCAAAGTGCTGGGATTACAGGCGTGAGCCACCGCGCCCGGCCAAGGAGGATTTTTTTCATGTTTTTTCATTCTTTCTCCCCTTCCCCAACTGGATTATTTCAAAAGACCTGTCTTCAGGTTCAGAAATTATTTCTTCAGCTTCATCTAGTCTGCTGTTGAAGCTCTAAATTAGGTTTTTTATTTTATTCATTGACTTATTCAGCTTCTAGATTTCTGTTTGGTTCTTTTTTTTTTTAAATCTATATTTTTGTTGAATTTCTCATGTAGATCACAAACTGTTTTCCTGATTTCATTGACTTGTCTTCTGTGTTCTCTTGATCTCACTGAGTTTCCTTAAGAAAATTGTTTTGAATTTCTTTTTAGGCAGCTTATATATTTCCATTTCTTTTGCGGTCAGCCACTGGAGAAATATTGTTTTCCTTTGGTGGTGTCATGTTTCCTTCTTTTTTTTTTTTTTCATGTTTCTTGTGTCCCTGTATTGATCTCTGTGTATCTGATGAAACAGTTGCCTTTTAATTTTATACAATAGCTTTTATAGGGGAAGACTTTCCCTTGAAGATGGGTCTTATTGTGTCAATTGGATAGAGTGTGTTGACTGTCATTTGGGTAGAGTGTGGGTCTGGGTGGGCATAGTACTGTAGTCTCCATGAGGTTTTTTCAGCTATAATCAATGTCAGTGATGACTGTAGGTACCTTAGTGGCCTAGGCTGCAGGAAACTGGCAGCAGTGGTGGCAAGGTAGAATGTTAGGGTTCTTGGTGGCAAAGGCTTTAGAGATCTTCGTGTTTTCATTTTCTTCACAGTGGGGAGACTTAGCTTAGGGGATCTCTCTTGATGTGTTATCTGACATTGGCCACTGGAAGCCACAACAAGGCTGTGTTTCACCACACAGGTGGTTGGAGTGGCTGTGGATTGTGTCTTGTTGAACTACTGTTGAACCTGTGACATGGGTGCAGGTTTACTCTCTTAGGCATGGGTGGCTGAAGCTTTTCCATCAAGCCAAGGACTGTGACTATGAGACACTCCCCAGCAGTTTGGTTTCATGGGGTAGGGATATAGCTGTGACTCTGATTCTGGGGATCAGAGTATAGGGCTGGCATGGTTCCAGGGATGAAGGTGTGTTCCAGAGGCTCACATTTGGGGAGCAAGGCAATCTGTAATTTGAATTCTGGAGACAAGAGGCCACAGTGGCAACTTGGACACCAAGAGAGAGGGTACTGCATAGTGGTGACTGTGGATCCTGTAATGGTGCGACACAGCAGGGGTTAGGCTCTGTGGAGCTGAATACAGTAGCAACAAGGGCCCATTTCTTGGCAGCAAGGAGTTGTGTGGAGCAGCTGTGGCTTCAGCTCCATGGATGAGGAGCAGTGCAATGTTGTCTTTATTCTCCAGGGAGATGGTGCACCTCAGCAGCACAGACTTTGGAGGGCTGGTCCAGATCCATTGAGGTAGGGCACTGTGGTTGTTCAGCCCTAAGGTGGGGGTGATACAGGTCAGCCAAAGTTATGTTTCCCTTGGGGGCTGGGCTCATGCATCAAGTTTGCAGCTGTTCTCCTGGGCTAAAGCTCCATTCCCCTGGGGCTGAGGCACTGGGCTGGTTCAGGGCGCTGAGGAGGCTTGACTGCTCTGCTGGCTTGGGTGCAGTTTCTTAGCCGTGCTGGAGTGCCTGGTCCCTAAGGAGCAGGGTGCTACAGGGGCTCAGGTACAGGGTCAAAGTTGCTTCCCTGAGCCAAAGCTCCAGTCCTCTGGGGTCGAGGTACCAGGCTGGTGCAGGTGCTGAGAAGGCATGACTGCTCTGCTGGCTTGGGTGTGGGTTCTCTACTGGGCTGGGGAGCCTGGTCCCCAAGAGGCAGGGTACTGTGTGGGCTTGGGCACTGCAATTGCAGCTGCTTTCCTGGGCCATAGCTCTAGTTTTCTGGGCTTGAGGCATCAGGTTGGCTTGGGCACCAAGGCTGCAGAACTGCTTCACCACGTTGGATGTGGCTTCCCCAGCAGAGGGGCACAAGGCTGGTTTACATGCTGGTGGGTCATGGCAACTCTGCTGGCTCAGGCACTGCTTTCCTGGGGATGGGATGCCAAGGCTTTGAATAGTCAGGAGTGGAGTGCAGCAGCCACTGAAATGGGGAAGATGGAGTGTCTCCTAGGCAGCCTGTTTCCAGGGGTTGGTGAGCCCAGCTGATAAATGGCGTACTACCATGTGTGAGCATGGTGCAGTGATGGTGGAGACTCAGAAATGGAGAGGTGCAGTGCCTACTGACCCCCAGAGGCAGTGGCTTCCATTTCAAGATGGCAAGTCCAGTGGCAGCTTGGGACACGAGGGTGGGTGGGGTGGGGCACAACATGGGCTTGTTTGCTGGAGTAGAATTGAATTCCAGGCAGCTCCCTTAAATTGGGTTCAGGCTCCATGAGGACTGTAGGATTTTCTCATAGCAAAGACTGCAGTGGTGGTAATGGGAGTTGCTGCAGGCTTCCTGCTTACCTTTTCCCGGCAGAGAAGTCCCTCCTGGTTTCCAGCTGATCCCATATGGGCAGATGAGGTGGCAGAGGCAGGGTGTTTTGTTCCCTTTTCTATGCAGTCAGCCTGAGTTTCTGTGTTTTATAAAGTTTCTACCACTTCCTTGATGTACTCCGGCACGCTCTTTTAATCATTCTTGTTGAAATGTAGTTGTTTATTCATTGTCTTGGTCCCTTTCTGTGGTAGGAATGATAATTAGGCACGTCTAGTTGGCCATCCTGCTGACGTTACTCTCCCATTCTCTTTTATTCCATGTGTTACATGTGTTTCTTGGACTGAATTTTTATTATCCTTTTAATTTTTTCTTCCATATGTTCATTTATTAACTTCCTAGTATTTTTATTTTATTGGGCATTGGGCATCTCTCCGTCTCTCTCTTTAAAACATAGAACCATGTTTCCTGCCATTGGGAAACTTTGAGAAGGTCTCAAATGATTACAATATAATAGCTAAGCACTACAGTATGGGAAAGTGGCAAGGACTGCAGAGAGGAAGGCTTTGATTACTCTGGGGCAGTTTTGGAAGACTCCCTAGAGGGTGAAACATTTCATCAGAGAAGATGAAATATGACAATGCAGGGAGTGTAACATATGCCATGGTTCCAAAGTGTGGAAAAGCCTTAAATAACAGGCAGTTTGATTAGTGATTGCCAATCTGGCTTTTAATTAGAATCATCTGGCAAACTAAAAAATGTACTGATTCTGAAGTCTAATCTCCAGAGATTCTTATTTAACTACTTTTAAATTGGGACCAGACATTTCTTTTTCAGCACCATTTAAAGGAATACAAAGCATATGCAAGGTATCCTACATATGCTATTTAAATTTTTTAAAAATTAATTAATGATGATGGACAGTATAACATATGATTGTCTTCATTTTTGTTGATTAAATTTTTGTCTTATTTATTCAGCATTGGGAATGTGCCTGTCCTTCTGCTAGTGCTGGAAACTAAATGCTGGATAGGATACAGTCCCTACCCTCAAGCATTAGTTTGAGAGAACTCTGTAACAGACATTACTGACATTTTACAAATAAGGAGTTTTAGGCTCAGAGTGATAGTGACAGAGGACAGACAAATTCTTACACAGACAGGGATGAGTCCCTGGTGAAAGCCGACCTTCAAGCCAAAGACAGCCTGAAGCCTGAAGACGGATATGCTGGATGGATAGAGTCCACCACCGGTGTGAGAACTTCCTCAATGCCTTTTAACCAATTGAATGGTGCTTTTTCCAAGACCACGCATGGACCCCATCAGCACCCACTTCGCCATTCTGAGCCCATAAAAACCAGCCAGACTCAGCCAGACAGACGGCGACCCACTCTTGGGTCCCCTGTTTGCTGACAGCTTTTTTTTTTTTTTTTTTTTGAGAAGAGTTTCACTCTCGTCGCTCAGGCTGGAGTGCAATGGCGCGATCTTGGCTCACTGCAACCTCCGCCTCCCAGGGTCAAGCGATTCTCCTGCCTCAACCTCCCAAGTAGCTGGGATTACAGGCGCCTGCCACCACGCCTGGCTAATTTTTGTATTTTTAGTAGAGACAGGGTTTCCCCATGTTGGCCAGGCTGGTCTTGAACTCCTGACCTCAGGTGATCTGCGCGCCTTGGCCTCCCAAAGTGCTGGGATTACAGGCGTGAGCCACAGCGCCCGGCCCTGAGAGCTTTCTTTCTGTTGCTAAATAAATTCTCTGCCTTACTCACTCTCCGGTGTCCACGCACCTTATTCTTCTTGATTGTGGGACAGGAACCCGGATCTCACTGAGGCTGCGAGGTTGGGGAATGAACAAGCTGTAACATGCCCGTGTTCACTGAGCTGCAGGCGGCAGAACCAGAGAGAGCTGTAACATTTCCTGGGGGCTCAGACCTCGGGACTCCCAGAGCAAAAGCTGTAACATCCCTTGGGGGTCTGCGGTTGCTGGCATCTCCAAGTTTTCGGGTGCCACCACCTCGTCTAGACGCCAGTGCCCAACACGGAAGCTGCTGTGGCACGCTGAGTCCAGCCGCAGGCTGAGCGTGGAGCCACGGCTGGTGTGGGATCCGGGCTGGTGGCACTAGTTGAACACAGCCTTCCGGGCCGAGCGGGCGGAGCGAGTCCGGAGGACCCGAGTGAGGCCCCCGGCAGAGCTCAGGGCGGCCACAGAGATTTCTGGTTGGCGAAACGGCACTGAAGGGATCCTGCAACACTGTAACCCTCCCTCCTGCTCACCCAAGCAACAGGGGAGAAAAAGCCGCCGCGCACTATTCCCTCCTGCTCGCCAAACTGCAAAAGCCACAAGACTTTGTACATGTAATAAGTGGCTGTAGGATTTAAAACCTTCTCTGTCTGCAATAAATGTGCAAGTTTAAGAAATGAAGTAACGGCCGGGAGCGGTGGCTCACGCCTGTAATCCCAGCACTCTGGGAGGCTGAGGCTGGTAGATCACCTGAGGTCAGGAGTTCGTGACCAGCCTGGCCAACATGGTGAAACCCCATGTCTACTAAAAAATACAAAAAATTAGCAGGGCATGGTGGTGTGTGCCCGTAATCCCAGCTACTCAGGAGGCTGAGGCAGGAGAATCGCTTGAATCCGCTAGGCAGAGGTTGCAGCGAGCCGAGATCACGCCGCTGCACTCCAGCCTGGGCGACAGAGCGAGCCTCCATCTCAAAAAAAAAAAAAAAAAAAAAAAAAAAAAGAGAGAAATGAAATAATTTCTTTTAAGAGATATTTCAGGAAGACAGGAGAGCAAGAGAGAAATTGTTATAAAGTTTAAGAATAGTTGTTTTTTGGCTGCACGCCTTGGCTCACGCCTGTAATCCCAGCACTTTGGGAGGCCGAGGCGGGCGGATCACGAGGTCAGGAGATAGAGACCATCCTGGCTAACACGGTGAAACCCCGTCTCTACTAAAAATACAAAAAATCAGCGGGTCGTGGTGGTGGGCGCCTGTAGTCCCAGCTACTCAGGAGGCTGAGGCGGGAGAATGGCGTGAACCCGGGAGGCGGAGCTTGCAGTGAGCCGAGATCGTGCCACTGCACTCCAGCCTGGGCGACACAGCGAGACTCCGTCTCAAAAAAAAAAAAAAAAAAAAAAAAGAATAGTTGTTTTTCCTGCTACCTATGCTGACATTCCTCTGAGGGAGTATTAGAATTTTGCTTCTGATTTTTTTGAATTGAGTCGGGGTTTTTCCATATATGCTGCAAACTGAATTTCCTGCTAAATACAGAAACATTACTCCAAAGTGTTTTAGCATATACTCTAAAAATCATCACCCAATATTTGCAATTACTTTAAAATTTGTTCTTAAAAATTGAATATGAGTTTGTAGTACAGAATTGGGGCAAACATACAGACAAGAATAGTGATAACATCTTAGGCAACATTATTGCATAATTATAACTCACTATCTACCCAGGGTAAAATTTTTATAGGGGGAAAATATTTAGAATAAAGTTATTTATTGTTTCTGAACCAGAGAGAAAGAATTAGTGCTCTTTCAAAGAAGTTTAGTCATCGACGGTAATCTCGTGTCAGTTGATTATCAGAGAATAATGTATACTGATATGCTTTTTTGTCTTACTCAACCCAGTGACCTCTGCAGTATATTTTATTCGATCTTTTTTCCCCTGGTTTCCCCTAAAAGATGATCTGAGGCCAGGTGCAGTAGCTTATGCCTATAATCTCAGCAGTTTGGGAGGCCAAGGCGTGTGGATCACTTGAGCTCAGGAGTTCCAGACCATCCTGGGCAAAGTGGCAAAATCCCGCCTCTACTAAAAAAAAAAAAAGTCTGGGCATGGTGGTGCATGCTTGTACTCCCAGCTACTTGGGAGGCTGAGGTGGGAGGATCACTTAAGCCTAGGAGGTGGAGGCTTCAGTGAGCCCGGATTGCATCACTGCACTCCAGCCTGGGTGACAGAGGGAGACCCTGTCTCAAAGAACAACAACAAAAGGATTATCTGATATTATACCAAAAGTATTTGGAGTTGTGGTTTGGGGGATGAAATAATATATAAAGTTCATTTCTTTTAGTTTGAATACTTGGACTTTTATTTTTACTGTTCTTTTAAAATTTTAATTAATTAGTTCATTCAGCAGTTTATTGCTGCCTACTATTTTAAATTAACATGGCATTGGACTTCATAAAGAGAACAGTGAGCCACGGTCCTGCCATTGAGAAGATTTCAGAAACTAACAAATGGTTATAGCATAAAAGAAAGACCACTGTAGCAGAAGTAAAGGTCTGGGTAGCATAGAAGAGGGAATAAGTATTAGGTTGGTGCAAAAGTAATTGCTGTTTTTTTTTTTTTTTCGTTTTTTTGAGATGGAGTCTCACTGTGTTGCCAGGCTGGAGTGCACTGGCACGATCTCAGCTCACTGCAGCCTCCACCTCCCGGGTTCAAGTGATTCTCCTGCCTCAGCGTCCTGAGTAGCTGGGACTACAGGAGCGCACCACCATACCCAGCTAATTTTTGTATTTTTAGTAGAGACAGGGTTTCACCATGTTGGCCAGGATGATCTTTATCTCTTGACCTCGTGAGCTGCCCGCCTCGGCTTCCCAAAGTGCTGGGATTACAGGTGTGAGCTACTGCACCTGGCCTGTTTTTACTGTTTTAATGACAGTATTGGAAAGCTTTGCAGAGGATATGACACTTTGCCCATCTCTTCTGAGATTTTACCAGAGAAGAAGGAGAAATGTTATCATGCAGAGGAAGTAGCATGTACTGTTGCACTTAGGTGTGAAAGAGCTTGAAATAATTGTGTAAATACATAGAGAATGGAACACAGTATGTGGAAAGGGGGATGGAGGCAACATGGGTATGGACAGAAAAGGGTGAAGTATGTAGCTAGAAATGTAGGTGAGGGCCAGATAAGGTCCCTGGGTAAAAAAACAAATAAGCATAAACAGATAAATATATAAAAGGTATTCCAAAGAGGGCTGACAAATATATTTTATTTGTTAAGGACTTATGTTGTCTTTTCTTGGAAAGGCTTAATTATAAATATTTTTTGTCTGACTCCCATAACTTTACATGTACTTCTTAGATTACTTGTCTCTGTATTTTTATGAGGTCATGGTCATTTTCTTAAAGATAAATATTAGATTATTAATGTTGAAATTTCTTTCTAATGCTGAAATTTTGTTTCTAGACATAATCGTCATTTCTTCTGTTCTATTTATATTTAAAATTCTTGCCTCAAAATATGTGAGCTTATTTTGTACATGAACTCAAAGATGTCAGGTTCTCATCATTTTTCCAGCACCAGGGTCTACTCATACTGATCAATTTCTTCATAACCCCAAGCACCTCCATATTCCCCAGGCTATAGATGATAAGATTGAGCATGAGCATTACTACCCCGCAGAACAGGTCAACCAGTTTCTCTGAAGTAGTGCCATTAGATGTTGACTTTATGTACATGAAGAGGATTGTCCGGTGAAACACAATCACCACTGTTATGTGGGCTGAACAGGTGGAAGAGACCTTTTTCCTTCCTTCAGCTGAATTGATTTCAATACAGCATAGATGGTGAAAATATAAAAAACTGAATATAAAGAACTGAAATGGTAGTAATAAAGTAAATGAAAAGTTTACTTTGCCCAATATTATTATATTCTCATTCAAGGAAATATCTATGCAAGCCAGAGGCATTAACTGTAATATTTTATAAAAATGATTAATGATGTGTTTTCCACAAAAGTGCATTCATATGTAACTATTAATACATTTTGTCTGTTGAGAAATCCTAATTCATAAGAGACAGTAGCCATGAAAACACAAAGCACCTTTTTTATTTTATTTTATTTTATATTATTTTTGAGGTGGAGTTTCGCTCTTGTTGCCCAGACTGGAGTGCAGTGGCATGATATTGGCTCATTGCAACCTCGGCCTCCCAGGTTCAAGCAATTCTCCTGCCTCAGCCTCCCAAGTAGCTGGGATTACCGGTGCCCACCACTGCACAGGGCTAATTTTTTGTATTTTTAGTAGAGATGGGGTTTCATCATGTTGGCCAAGCTGGTTTTGAACTCCTGACCTCCGGTGATCCACCAGCCTTGGACTCCCAGAGTGCTGGGATTACAGGCATGAGCCACTGCGCCCAGCCAAGGCACCTTATTTATGATGAGAGGGTATCTCAGGAATTTGCTGATGACCACACAGTTATCATATGCCATCACTGCTAGGAGCACACACTCCGTGGACCCCATGGAATAGAAGATAGACATTTGTATAATACAATCTGTGAAAGAGAGTTTTTTTCCCTCTGATAGGAAGTTTATTAGGATAGAGGGAGTAAAAAGGACGTAAGCCCGATATCCAGGAAGGAGGGATTGCCATGGCATAAATATAGGTGGGAAACAAGGAGTGTTGGGATGATCTGTATTCTGTTCCCCAAGAGGGTCACTAGATACACCACTAAGCATGTGACAAAAAGGAGTTTTTGTCAACTTATGAGTACTCATAGACTTATGAGAATCAACTCAAACTCAGTTGTTCAATTAGTCCTTTCCATGTACTTTTTCATACCTAGAGTATGACTAATCCAGAAAAGGACACAGTATGTGAGTTAAACGAATGGTCCCATATTATGTAAAGTAAGAGGTCATAGAAGTTGGAGGTCCAACAACTATGCTAGTACTAGCTGGAATAGTGGTAACAGGAATGAGTTTAGCTTATGGGATTCCTCTTTTAGCTCATAAAGCAATTGCGCTACATTGCTAGGTCATTAAATATGCAAACTTCTGTATTCCCCTTCCTGAGATTGAGCATGAGGTCTGAGGAAGGGAAGAGCTCTTTGCATTTTAAAACAAGTGTCGGTTATTACTGATACAATTGATCCACAAAGACCACTTTGAAAAATTAACATCAGAGAGAGCATACTTTAATCTGATCAACAGACGTATTTATTTGGGTTTATACCATACAAATCATTAACAATAGCATTGGTTTAGGATTTTATAGTTTACAAATATGATCACACACATTACTCATTTTATCATCACTATAATTCTCTGAGGGAAATGAAATCTTGAAAGATGAAATTTATATAAAATTAGAGTAAGTGTGAGTGAGCTGCTATTTAAATCTGAGTTTTCTGATTTTAAATCCCGTGTATTTTTTTTTAACTATACTTCATTGGGTGGGAATCAGACATCTTTTTAATAATGCTCTCCAGGTTACTCTAATGTGCAACTGAGGAAGAACATAACTGATTTAGTCAATGTGCTTCTCAAACTTTAATATTCCCAGGAGTCACCTGGGGAATCTATGTAAAAGATTCTGATTCAGTGGGTCTGACCTGGGTTCTGAGATCTGCATTTATTAACGTGTTCCCAGGTAATGTTGATGCTGCTCATCTACAGAACACACGTGAGTAGCAAGGTATCTCTGACCATCTCTCTTTAATACCTTAGAGAGGACCATTGGTGCTTTAATTGTGTGTAGGATAGTAATTAGATAGCTGATGTGAAACAATATTCTGGTGAGACTTGGAGATAAGACTTCTGTATAGCTTATTGCAAACAATTTTGGGTTCTTGATATTTTTAGAATTAAAAGCAACCAAATTGCACACAGGAGAGCCTGCCTTTTATTTCTATACATATGAAAGTCATTTTCTTCTACTTGTTAAATTTATTGTTAGGACCCATATTTTCCTGAAAAAGGAATTTTGAGTCAGCTCAAGCATCTGAGTTGTGAACCAAAGAACATAAAGAAAATGATATAACTATCAGCGGGTGACCTTGTTTGTAGTAAATGCATCAGAGAATATCATTTTAAAAACAACTCTGCATCTTCATGGTATTCTACCTCAGCTGCGAAATATATCCCTAGACAAATACATTAATTGACTCAATAGATGAGTATACTTAGTATTATAACTTAGTATTTTCAAACAATAGTTTTGGTTATGGTATAGGATTTGCCTTATAATAGTCATTTGCCAATAGGTTATGCTGCTCCTTAATTAAACAATGTTCAACATAGAAGAGAATTTCTAATCCTATTGGTTTTGGAAAGGAGGATTGTCACTGAATTCAAGCTTTCCTAAATTATGCATGCCTCCAAATAGAGCAGAAAAATGTGGATAGGCCAAGATATACTCCTATTTGGTACTATTTATGATTATAATTTGATTGACTATAGGAGTACAATCTCAGTTGGACAGCAAAATTCTAATAGAGACTTTGAACAAACATCAGTAGTCTGGAGTTCATACTAAACCTGTTTCAGGGAAGGTATGAATTAAGTGGAAAGCCATTCCTTCTCTTTTAACTTCTCCAAAATGTTTATTCCTATTTTAAAGTTGCTTTAAGAAAATATTTATTTTATGCTGAGAATAAGGTAGTAAGTTTGGTACTCGAACATCCTCGAGACGGTTATTCCCAAAGAATTTTACTTGCAAACATCCCTATGGAATCCACCCATGTCTTTTGATCCATTTTTTTAAAAAAAGATAATAGCATAGAGGCCATTATTTGTATTTCTCTTGTAATGCTAGTGTAACTTCTTTAAAAATCAGTTAATAGATTCCAAACGTTTGATCATTGAAAAAGCACTGTGTTTTAATACTTTGTGCTAGAGACTTCTGACATTTATGTTTTTTTTTCTCTAACGTGAAGTCTTATATTCTGTTTGGGTAAAGACATTGAAAATTTAAGACTATAAAGAGTCCCTAATAAATTATTTTTGTAGGACTTGGAGGATTGGATAATTTTGTTATCATTTTTATGCTTGTCTACTGTGATGAAGGGGAAATATAAAATCATCATAGTAATTTTATTTAGTGGAATATTTGTAACTATTAAATAACATTTTTGAAGAATTTGTATTAATATAAAAACACTTATGTTAATATAGTTAAAAGAAAAACAAAAACAGTATTTTGCATTGTTTTACAAAACCAAAACCTAAAGCAAGAAAACTTACTCAGAATAAAGGCTGAAAAGAAATATCCAAAAGGCCAGGCGTGGTGGCTCATGCCTGTAATCCCAGCACTTTGGGAGGCTGAGGTGGGCGGATCATGAGTTTAGGAGTTCGAGACCAGCCTGGCCAATATGGTGAAACCCTGTCTCTACTAAAAATACAAAAATTATCCGGGCGTGATGGCGGGTGCCTGTAATCCCAGATACTCGGGAGGCTGAGGCAGGAGAATCACTTGAAACTGGAAGGTGGAGGTTGCAGTGAGCTGAGATCGCACCACTGCACTCCAGCCTGGGCAATAGGAGTGAAACTCGGTCTCAAAAAAAAAAAAAAAAAAAAAAAAAAAAGAAAGAAATATCCAAAAAATTTATCTTGGTATCTTTTCTGAAATTTCTAAGTTTTTAACATAAGTATGGATACATACATATGGATAAAAGAAAAATGTAACTCCAAAAAGAATAAATGGAAGCAGGGGCATAATTATATTAGAAAGATGACTCAGTAAAAACTGTCAAATCTTAATTTAAATGGGCAATTTCTTTAGGTATCTGGAGATCACACATAAAGGCTGAGTTGCACTGCATGTCCATTAGGATGTTTTTCACATCCCAAGTTGTATCAGAAGAAATAACTGTACTTTAAAAAATTTTCTGATGGGGGAGTACTTTAATGGACCATTTAATTTTATACAATATGACCTATGTCCCAGGTTTAATGAAATAGGTTAAAAAAACAGTAACTAAAACTTTGCCAAATAAAGTAAGTGAACAATCTCATTAGCTTGAAACTGTTCTGATATGACTGATTTGGAGGCTTTACTTAAGTAATGCTGGATATAGGATTTAGGGGTCCCTTGTGACTTGGCAAGAAAGAGGAGGGAAAAATGAGTAAAGAGCTTACCTTTTTATTTCTTAAAAAAAAAGTACATAGTTATGAAACAAAACAAAATACAGAAGTCCAAAACCGCTTTCTTCTTAGGAGGGAAACTGTATTAGTCTGTTTTCATGCTGCTGATAAAGATATACCTGAGACTGTGAAGAAAAAGAGGTTTAATTGGACTTACAGTTCTGCATGGCAGGGGAGGCCTCTGAATCATTGTGGGAGGCAAAAGGCACTTCTTACATGGCAGCAGCAAGAGAAAATGAGGAAGAAGCAAAAAAGAAACCTCTGGTAAACCCATCAGATCTCTTGAGACTTACTCACTATCATGAGAATAGCACAGGAAAGACTGGCTCCCATGATTCAATTACCTCCCCTATGTCACTCCCACAACACATGCTGGGAGATAGAATTCAAGCTGAGATTTGGGTTGGAACACAGCCAAACCATATAATGCCACTCCTGGCCCCTCCAAATCTCATGTCCTCACATTTCAAAACCAATCATGCCTTCCCAACGGTCCCCCAAAGTCATAACTCATTTCAGCATTAATCCAAAAGTCCACAGTCCAAAGTTTCATCTGAGACAAGGCAAGTCCCTTTCACTCATGAGCCTGTAAAATCAAAAGCAAGCTAGTTACTTCCTAGATACAATGAGGATACAGACATCGGGTAAATACAACCGTTCCAAATTGGAGAAACTGGACAAAACAAAGGGGTTATAGAGCCCATGCAAATCCGAAATCCAGCAGGGCAGTTAAATTTTAAAGCTCCAAAATGATCTCCTTTGACTCTGGTCTCATATCCAGGTCACACTGATGCAAGAAGTGCATTCCCATGGTCTTGGGCAGCTCTGACCCTGTGGCTTTGCAGAGTACAGCCTCCTTCTCAGCTACTTTCACAGGCTGGTATTGAGTGTCTGTGGCTTTTCCAGGCAAATGGTGCAAGCTGTTGGTAGATCTACCATTCTGGAGTCTGGAGGGTGGTGGCCCTCTTCTCACAGCTCCACTAGGCAGTGCCCCAGTAGGGACTCTGTGTGGGGGTTCCAACCCCACTTTTCCCTCCTGCACTGCCCTATCAGAAGTTCTCCATGAGCACCCCATCCCTGCAGCAAACTTCTGCCTGGACATCCAGGTGTTTCCATACATCTTCTGAAGTCTAGGTAGAGGTTTCCAAACCCCAATTCTTGACTTCGGTGCACTTGCAGGCTCAACACCATGTGGAAGCTTCTGAGGCTTGAGGCTTACCCCCTCTGAAGCCATGGCCCGAGCTCTGCATTGGCCCCTTTTAGCCACATCTGGAGCAGCTGGGACGCAGGGCACCAAGTCCCTAGGCTGCACCCAGCAGGGGTTCCCTGGGCGAGCGAAACCACTTTCTCCTAGGCCTCCAGCCTGTGATGGGAGGAGCTGCAGTGAAGACCTCTGACATGCCCTGGAGACAATTTCCCCATTATCTTAGGGATTAACATTTGGCTCCTGGTTACTTATGCAAATTTCTGTAGCCAGCTTGAATTTCTCCTCAGAAAATGGATTTTTCTTTTCTATCACATTGTCAGGTTGCAAATTTTCCAAACTTTTATGCTCTGCTTCCCTGATAAAACTGAATGCCTTTAATAGCACCCAAGTCACCTATTGAATGCTTTGCTGCTTAGAAATTTCTTCAGCCAAATACCCAAAATCATCTCTCTCAAGTTCAAACTTCCACAAATCTCTAGGGCAGGGGCAAATTGCCACCAGTCTCTTTGCTAAAACATGACAAGAGTCACCTTTGCTCCAGCTCCCAACAAGTTTCTCATCTCCATCTGAGACCACCTCAGCCTGGACCTTATTATCCATATTGCTATCAACATTTTGGGTAAAGCCATTCAGCAAGTCTGTAGGAAGTTCTAAACTTTCCCACATTTTCCTGTCTTCTTCTGAGCCCTCCAAACTCTTCCATCTTCTGCCTGTTACCCAGTTCCAAAGTCGCTTCCACATTTTGGGGGATCTCTTCAGCAATGCCCCACTCTACTGGTACCAATTTACTGTATTAGTCCGTTTTCCCCCTGCTGATAAAGACATACCTGAGACTGGGAAGAAAAAGAGTTTTCATTGGACTTACAGTTCCACATGGCTGGGGTCTCAGAATCATGGCAGGAGGTGAAAGGGACTTCTTACTTGGTGGCGGCAAGAGAAAACGAGGAAGAAGCAAAAGCGGAAACCCCTGATAAACCCATCAGATCTCATGATACTTATTCACTATCATGAGAATAGCAGGGGAAAGACCTGCCTCCATGATTCAATTACCTCCCACTGGGTCCTTCCCACAACACGTGGGAATTCTAGGAGATACAATTCAAGTTGAGATTTTGGTGGGGACACAGCCAAACGGTATCAGAAGCTTAGCCACATGGTGACAGATCAGAACTTAACAAGATGGCCAGGAAGCAATTCCTTGTGATCTGGGATGGTTTTGCATCACCTCCTCCCACTGTAAATTAGATAAGATTTTTATGCCAATAAATCTAGGGAATAGTATTATCTGTTTAGGTGAATTTTTTGGAAATGCTTACGGTATGGAGTGAGATGAAGTTACAAATTAGCTTCTGGAGTAACAATAAAAAAGCTAAATAGCTTCTACATTTCTATCGTATGATTTAAACATTTCTGAATTTGTTGTGAATTTCAAAATGCCACCCACATTTACAATAACATCTAAATTCCAATTTCAGAGCAAAATACAATTATTTCTAGATTAGTTATACATTAAAACTTGTTTTTTCTTTTTTTTATTATACTTTAAGTTCTAGGGTACATGTGCACAACGTGCAGCTTTGTTACATGTGTATACATGCACCATGTTGGTGTGCTGCACCCATTAACTCGTCATTTACATTAGGTATATCTCCTAATGCTATCCCTCCCCCCTCCCCCCACCCCACGACAGGCCCCGCTGTGTGATGTTCCCCTTCCTGTGTCCAAGTGTTCTCATTGTTCAATTCCCACATATGAGTGAGAACATGCGGTGTTTGGTTTTTTGTCCTTGCAATAGTTTGCTGAGAATGATCGTTTCCAGCTTCATTCATGTCCCTACAAAGGACAAGAACTCATCCTTTTTTATGGCTGCATAGTATTCCATGGTGTATATGTGCCACATTTTCTTAATCCAGTCTATCACTGATGGACATTTGGGTTGGTTCCCAGTCTTTGCTATTGTGAATAGTGCCTCAATAAACATATGTGTGCATGTGTCTTTATAGCAGCACGATTTATAATCCTTTGGGTATAGACCCAGTAATGGGGATGGCTGGGTCAAATGGTATTTCTAGTTCTACATCCTTGAGGAGTTGCCACACTGTCTTCCACAATGGTTGAACTAGTTTACAGTCCCACCAACAATGTAAAAGTGTTCCTATTTCTCCACATCCTCTCCAGCACCTGTTGTTTCCTGACTTGTTAATGATCGCCATTCTAACTGGTGTGAGATGGTATCTCACTGTGGTTTTGATTTGCATTTCTCTGATGGCCAGTGATGATGAGCATTTTTTCATGTGTCTGTTGCCTGCATAAATGTCTTCTTTTGAGAAGTGTCTGTTCATATCCTTCACTCACTTTTTGATGGGGTTAATTTAACAAAAACAAATTAAACGACATAATATCTATAAAACCCTTATAATGATGCCTGGAAATTTGTATTCTATTATTATTATTGTTAATAATGAAGACTTAATGTAGTCTGAGTTCTTTCTACTGTACTACATACAAGATGACATGATAGGATGAACAAAGGTCTGGACCAAGTGATTAGAATATATTTGGAGAAAGGATCTCAGCAGTATATAGTAATAGATTGAAAATGGGATAAGACATGTCTTCAGGGCTTCTGATTGGTTATGTAAATTACAATAATGGGTCTCATATGATTAAGTCTTTAGGGCATTATTCTTGAAATTTCTAAAAGTTTTGAATATGTTTTGCCTGAAGCAATTTAAAGTTATCACTTAGAAATTTTCAGAAGTCCCTGAGAGCAAGAAATATTTAAATTGCCTCCCTGAGCCCAAGGAAGATTCTTTAGAGAATTTCCTGGGCCTTCTCAATGGGACAATGTTTCCACCTGGGCTTCAAGGGCAAATGAAATGTGCCATATTCACAAAGTGAACTGCCCAGTATTTTCTTCTCCTCTTACTTTTGAACTAGCAGAACCACATTAGCCTTCCTTTGTAAATATAGCTGATGTAATGTATGCTGTTTTGAAACAACTTAGAAATAATACCTTTGTTATCAATGTTTTACAGATAATATACCCTGTGTCATCATGGCTTCCAAACAGTAATCCCTTCTTCAGAAATTCATCAGCTTCACAGAAAATTTTGTTGAACAGCCTAAAAACAGAAGATCAAGGCAAAACAATCTGCTGTGTATTGCAACCTAAGAAGTGAGCTGACCTTCCATTTAGAGGTAATTGCTGAAGCCATACTACTAACACAAATCGAAGCGGGGGTGGTGGTTAGCCTTATGAAATGAATTGAAATAAGCCATGTCTTTTGAAAATGTAGTATTTCTTATTAGAGAAAGTGTACAATCCAAGAGGATTTTTTCAGATATAGTTAAAAAATAGAAAAAAAGAAAAAATATTATCAAAAGACTACTTGCATATCCAAAGTAATTTGAGCATTCAAAACAGATGATGTTTAGGTTTATAGTTGTTTTCATGAACAGTCCTTCTACAGAATAGGTTTATAATTTCTAACTGGGAATAAAGATTCATTGGTCAAAATACAGTTTTGTGGTCCTCACTTTATTACAAGCACATGTATATGCATCTGAAAGTATCATCTCTCTTCTGTTGCTCAATAAGCTGCCAATCTGTACTCTTGGTCCAGAATGCAAAGCAGTCTGTTACCACCAAAGTTCTGATTCTGTGGCCATTTAAATCACAGCACTAATTCAGTTTGATTTTGTTCAGTTTAGCAAATGTTCATCCAATACTAATCATGAGTAGACAATGTTCTAGCATGGTCCCTGTCCCAGAACCTCTAACTAGGCATACTATTTGAAACACAAACACTTTATTACTTGTTCTTGAATATATCTTTGAATTTGTGAAAACGCAAATGAAGAGGAGCAATGAGTCTTTAGTTAATAGGAAGAATTTTGGCTTCTTATGCTTGCGAGTATTTTGGAGATGTTTGAATATTTTTAATTTTTTTTGTTGCTGGTAATGCATTTGTATGGTGACTTTAGATATAACATTTGTGAGATACACACACACATTTAGATTTTAGATGAATTAACTGAAATAGCCTCTATTTAAAAATGTCACCCTATATGTTCCTTGTTTTAAACTGCAATGGACTTTTTTTATAATGGTATAACACTGTTCACTGCAAAGTGAGTAGACTTTGGTATAATGCGCATCTATCTCATATCATGAATGTGATAAAAAATAGTTTGACTTAGATGAAAGGAGACTTGATATATGAGAAAGTGTGATTGATGAAATTCCAAAGATACTTGTGCAGCGGTTGATACTGGGGACAGAGACATAAAAGAACTTGAGAGAAGAACAAGTCAGTAGAAAATAAGAAGGAACAAAAATAGTGCTTACTACATGCTATGTACTTTACATGCTTTGCCTATTTATTCTCCCGAGAACCCCATTATAAGCCTATTAAGACCCCCATGTTATAGATGAAGATAGTGAGATTCAGAGAATTTATAAATTGCCCATGGTCACAGCTAGTAACTGGCCAAGAAAGGACTTAAGCACATGTTCTCTCTATTAGACAAAGTGGACTTGACACAATAATAGCTGCATCGTGGCAGTGGTTAGAAGAATGTGTCTTACCATGAAATTGCTTCTCAGTCATAATTTAACAGGGAATTGGAATTGAGGTGGCATTATTTATAACATAGAATTAAAAAAGTGAATCTAGGATTTAGATAAAAAAGGATGTATTTCTAGGGTATAAAAGGATCCCAAAGTATAAAAAGTGGAGTTGATGGAAATAAGGGCAAAATATGCTGAAAGGAGAAATACCCTTATAATGGCCAAAGGCAGAGCTGGTTAGTTAGAAGCTGGTTGAAATAAGTTCAAACAACTCAATTTAGACCTTAAACTTGTGCCAAGTTTTGTGAATAAAGAAAAATGGCCTATGTGTTAAGTGCCTGGTTTGTTTTCAGAAATTACTTTTGTTTTGTGAACTAAGTGGAAGATATTCATCAATGGACAATGATACTACTGGAAATTTGTTTGTGTAGAGGGGTAGTTGGGTGGGGAGAAATGACTGTTCCTGAGAAAAAATTAAAAGAGATAGCTTGAGACTTTCTGAGGCAAGTTTAAGCAAAATCCACCATTTCCAATTCCCAGGGAATGGCTATTTTCCAGTGGATATTTTCCTGCAGTATCACCTAAAGTGAGATGTGCTGTTAGAACATGTCTCTTTAGTCGTAGTCTTTCTTTGCATCATGTTCAATTGGACTTAGGCAGCAACCAATTAACATGGCAACTAAAAGGTGTTTGCATTAGAGAATGAGAAGACAAACCAGCTGCTGGGAGACAATATATGCAAATCACATGATAAATAACTCATATCCAAAATATATAAAGAACTCTCAAAACTCAACAAGGAAAAAAAATTAAAAATGAGCAATAGAACCAGCATGGTGGTGCATGCCTGTAGTTCTGTGTTCTGGTTAAGCTGGTAGTTACATGAATCTGTAGTCCCAGATACTCAGAGGCTGAGGTGGGAGAATGGCTTGAGGCCAGGAGTTTGAGGACAGCCTGGGAAAATAGCGAGACCCCCATTTGTTAACAAAAAAAGGGGGCAAAAGATACTTTACTAAAGAATGGAAAAACATCATCAGTCATCAAGGAAATGTAAAATAAAATCATAATTAAATATGACTATCTATTAGAATGGATAAAAAATTACTGACAATATTAAATGATGAGATGGGAAGCAAGTGGAACTCTCATACATTGTTGGTTGAAATGCAAAACTGGTACAGCCACTCTGGAAAACTGTTTGGCAGCTTCTTATACATTTAAACATGCTTATTGTCTCATTCCTGGATATTCTAAAAAAATGAAAGCTTATGGTTATACAAAAATTGGGGCAGAAATATTTATAGTAGCTCTATTCATAATTGCCCCAAACTGGAAACAATCCAAATATCCTTCAAAAGGTGAACAGATAGGCAAAATACAGTAATCTACTCAATAGAATACTATTTAGCAATAATAACTTGAATGGATCTCAGAGGCTTTATCTAAGTGAAAGAAGCTCAACCCCAGTGGCTCATATGATTCTATTTATATGTATTTATATGACATTATGGTAAACGTAAAACTATAGGGATAGAAAATATCAGTGGTTGCCAGGATGTACAGGTAAGTGGAAGAGGTGACTAAGAAAAGAATATCACAAAGAAGTGTTTTGGGGTAATAGAAGAGTTCTGTGTTCTGGTTATGGCCGTGGTTATATGAATCTATACATGTTTTAAAATTCACAGAACCATACACTAGGAAATAAAAAGTCAGTTTATGGTATGACATCTAACTGTATGATAATTTTAAAAAACAACAAAAAAATTCCACCCCTAACCAAAGAAAAAGGTGTTTGCACTTTAACACGAAGATTTCATATTATTGGGCTTTACATGAATTGGTCGTGTTCTCTGGATAATCAGGAATGCAGTAATCACTGGTTGGGTTCATTTCTGATGATTCTCCCTCCAGATTGACACACTTCTTTCAGTGTTGGAATACATATGGGTTATTGTTGAGTTCTCCTGACCTGGGAGTGAGGTTTTAAAGTAAATTACCAAATCTCTTATGCAATACACTCTGTATTGCTTTTATAATTCATTAAAAAACCTCAGGCAAGTATGGGACACAAACAGGTAGTCTTGGAGCCTAGGCTTTGCTACACATTAGTTATATGACTTTAGGCTGAACTCTCTCACTTTAGGTTTTCTTATCTTTCAAATGATAATGTGGAGTTTAAATTAAGTAATGTGAAAAAAAATCACAAAGTTCCTGGCCAAGAATGAGTGATCAATATCATAAGCTTTCCCCTCATATTTCTCTTCCTGCATTGTTAATTCTTTTCATTCCATTTCCGTATATTCCTTCCTCCTCTTCCCTATTTTCTCTTTCTTCAATACTTTTATGGGTCCGTGGCAAATTTTTATATTTGTACATTGGTATACTTGGATTTACCATGTAAATAAATTATATTAATTTTTTTGACTTCTTACAGGTAAAAGAGAGACATTTAAATGGAATGGGAAAACCAAACCATTCTGGTGGAATTTTTTCTGAAGGGACATTCTGTTCACCCAAGGCTTGAGTTACTCTTTTTTGTGCTAATCTTCATAATGTATGTGGTCATCCTTCTGGGGAATGGTACTCTCATTTTAATCAGCATCTTGGACCCTCACCTTCACACCCCTATGTACTTCTTTCTGGGGAACCTCTCCTTCTTGGACATCTGCTACACCACCACCTCTATTCCCTCCACACTAGTGAGCTTCCTTTCAGAAAGAAAGACCATTTCCTTTTCTGGCTGTGCAGTGCAGATGTTCCTTGGCTTGGCCATGGGGACAACAGAGTGTGTGCTTCTGGGCATGATGGCCTTTGACCGCTATGTGGCTATCTGCAACCCTCTGAGATATCCCATCATCATGAGCAAGAATGCCTATGTACCCATGGCTGTTGGGTCCTGGTTTGCAGGGATTGTCAACTCTGCAGTACAAACTACATTTGTAGTACAATTGCCTTTCTGCAGGAAGAATGTCATCAATCATTTCTCATGTGAAATTCTAGCTGTCATGAAGTTGGCCTGTGCTGACATCTCAGGCAATGAGTTCCTCATGCTTGTGGCCACAATATTGTTCACATTGATGCCACTGCTCTTGATAGTTATCTCTTACTCATTAATCATTTCCAGCATCCTCAAGATTCACTCCTCTGAGGGGAGAAGCAAAGCTTTCTCTACCTGCTCAGCCCATCTGACTGTGGTCATAATATTCTATGGGACCATCCTCTTCATGTATATGAAGCCCAAGTCTAAAGAGACACTTAATTCAGATGACTTGGATGCTACCGACAAAATTATATCCATGTTCTATGGGGTGATGACTCCCATGATGAATCCTTTAATCTACAGTCTTAGAAACAAGGATGTGAAAGAGGCAGTAAAACACCTACCGAACAGAAGGTTCTTTAGCAAGTGAATGCAAAATGTACTGGAGTGTGAACACACTTGATATTGTTGAAACTTCAGAATTATGTTAGAATTTTGGATACTTTTACTATTTTTCTGCATTTTCATATATTATGTTAAAATAATGAGATACAGCATTTCAAAATTATTGCATGTCCACTCTAGAGAATTTGCAAGATACAGGGCAGTAGGATGAAGAAGACAGAGGGGCTACCTATTACTCTAATAGTGGGAAATGGCTACTTTTCAACATTTTGAACAGTATCTTTCGTATTATGGTTTTTAAATTTTTGCTGTATTGGAATTGGGTGTGATGTGCCTTTTTATGTTCACTTTTCTACATAATGTTATTTCATAGGCAACATTTCATTGACTCTTTCAAAATAAATAAAGCCCTCTGTTGTAGAAAAAGCAAAACAGAAAAAAACCCAATATACTGCACTCACATTTTCCAGTGGCAAGCCTTGTGTTATAGTTTCACATTAATCTCCAGATCCTGTTGAGTCATTAAATACTATTTTCTTGTTCTGTATTTAAATATTTTTGTGTGAAGCTGAGTATTTGGGACTATCAAGGGGCAGGAGATAAATAGAGTTTAAAAGCAGGGCCTATGCAATCAATCGGGATATCCTGCTTTATGGTCTTTCTTTGCTTTAACTTATAGGTTGGCTTTAGCATAAAGAACATTTTGCAAAATTAAAAATAGGTTTGAAAATCAGTCTACTGGTCCAGATAATAATGTGGACTAGTTTTGGGTTGAATGGAGTGTCCTATCAATGCCCATTTAGAAGATGCCCAATTTTTTTGCTATCCCGAGGGAATTCCAATATTTTTCCAAGTCTTAGAAGAATGTCCAAGCTCTTAATTTTTAGTACAAATACTATTCATGTCTTGTCTCTGTTACTAACCAGCTTAATTTGAGGAAGAAGAGGATTGGGGAATGTCAGACATTATCTTGCTTTTCCTTGGTTTTTACGTCAACATTTTACTCTATGTGAAGAACATTTTAAATTTACAGCCCAAGATGAATGATGAAGTGTGTTCAGGAGTGAACCACCTTCTAGGTAATCAGTTTAGCTGAAGCAATTTTTATTAATGGACCAGTGAATTTAGAGTATATTGGGCATAAACATATTTTACGTAGACAAGTAAGAATTACCTGCTTGTGGAATCTTTGGGTTTAGTCACTCGTTTAATCTTCCCAAGTTCACTTGTTAATTTTAGTGGAAAGAATATTAAACAGTCACAAACTATATTTAAATATATCCATCATAGTTGTTTACAGATTAAATCTGATGGCAAGAGTTGAAATTATTGATAATTAAATTTACATCCTGACAAAATGGGCTGTGAAAATCTATTAGTTCCCATACACGAGTTCATTGGACTTTTTGCACCCACTAAGAATTCCTGGTAGGTAGAAAACTCCGGAAGTCAGGCATTTTATGTTTGACTCATAGTCAGGTTGTCTTGAATGCTCAAATGCTAATTTTGTTTTCCTTCACAACTTAAATCCAGCCACTTTGATAAATTCTCTGGGATGACTCAGGTGGCTCCATAGTGTTACATCAGATTTATACCATTTTTTATTATTATACTCTAAGTTATAGGGTACATGTGCGCAATGTGCACGTTTATTACATAGGTATACATGTGCCATGTTGGTTTGCTGCTCTCATCAACTCGTCATTTACATTAGGTATTTCTCCTAATGCTATTCCTCTCCCAACACCCTACCCCCCGACAGGCCCCAGTGTGTGATGTTCCCCACCCTGTGTCCAAGTGTTCTCATCGTTGAATTCCCACCTATGAGTGAGAACATGTAGTGTTTGGTTTTCTGTCCTTGTGATAGTTCACTGAGAATGATGGTTTCCAGCTTCGTCCATGTCCCGGCAAAGGACATGAACTCATCCTTTTTTATGGCTGCATAGTATTCCATGGCATATATGTGCCACATTTTCTTAATCCAGTCTATCATTATGGACATTTGGGCTGGTTCCAAGTCTTTGCTATTGTGAATAGTGCCGCAATAAACATAGGTGTTCATGTGTCTTTATAGTAGCATGATTTATAATCCTTTGGGTATATACCCAGTTATGGGATCACTGGGTCTAATGGTATTTCTAGTTCTAGATCCTTGAAGAATCTCCACACTGTCTTCCACAATGGTTGAACTAGTTTACAGTCCCAACAGTGTAAAAGCATTCCTATTTCTTCACATCCTCTCCAGCACCTGTTTTTTCCTGACTTTTTAATGATCACCATTCTAACTGGCGTGAGATGGTAACTTATTGTGGTTTTGATTTGCATTTCTCTGATAACCAGTGATGATGAGCATTTTTTCATGTGTCTGTTGGCTGCATAAATGTCTTCTTTTGAGAAGTTTCTGTTCATATCTTGCCCACTTTTTGATAGGGTTGTTTGTTTTTTTCTTGTAAATTTGTTTAAGTTCTTTGTAGATTCTGGATATTAGAGATTTATACATTTTTGATAGAAAATTAATTAAAGGAAGAAGAAATTTTAAAGCACACATTTCTCCTTACAGGAGAATATTAGGAGAGTTTTTCTCTCACAGGGTTGTAGAATCAAGGTCTGAAGAAAATAAAGGCATGTTAACTGTCTTGATATATTTATGTGTTCAAATTTGCTGGGCAAAATACACAATCATTATAATACTGACATAATGCTTTATTTTAATACTTGAGCCTCTAGAGGAGTTTTCATTCAGAAATTTTATTTTAAAAGCTTATGGAGGATCATTTTGTTGTTAGCAATTTGTTTTTTCTAATTTGGAGACAAAGTAAGATAAACTTATCTGATATAACAGTCATGTATCTCTGTGTGTGTGTGTGTGTGTGTGTGTGTGTGTAGTGTGTGTGTGTGTTTGTAGTGTGTGCGTGTTCCTGTGATTTTTCTACCAGACAGCAAAATCTACCATTTCTACCAGATAGCAAAATCTGCCATTTCTACCAGATAGCAAAAATTTCTACCAGATAGCAAAATCTACAATTCTTAGTGTAACTGAAGAAGCAAGCCACACCCCCATCACATGCTCTGCCAGGGGGATAAGGGAATTTTTCCTGTTTCACTTCCATAGCACACTAAGCCATCACTTTAATCACAGCTTTCACCACTTTGTATTGAAATTCACTAATTACATGAATGTTTTTCTTACTAACTATATGATTCTTGAAGGTGAGGACTGTGTCTGAGGCATTTTTATATTTGCAGATGTTCTTTCTACAAGTTTCATAGAGTATATATATATAATACATTTCATGTAAACAAGTGATTTAAAAATGTAAAATTGTGACTGTTATCATTAATTGATATATCTTTATCCTATTTGATACTTTGTTATTAGCTGAAAAGAATATTTAAGAAACCAGTGTAAAAATGTAAAATACACAATAGAAAAATGAATAGAGGACATGAGTGCACAACTCACATGAAAGAAAATAAAACTCTTTAAGACACACCAAAATGTAAATAGTAAATATCTATAAAGATTAAAATGCCATTTACAATAATGACAAGATACCATTTTAAGCCCTTTAGATTAGATTGAAAATCTAAATTATTGACAACATCCAGTGTTGATAAGAGGAAGATAAAATTAGCGACACCATAACACTACATTAGTATTATCCTTTTAGATTCATAAAAAATCTTCATTGATTTTGACCCACTCATTTCACTTTTAGAATTCTGTCTGAATAAATTTTGAAATTATTTTGATAAAAATAAATTTTAAAAATAAAGAAGAGAAAAAATGAAAACAATCATTCAGAAGTGTTCAGCCTTAAGATGCCTCAGTTTGCTCTCATTAGAGAAAGGCAAATTATTTTAGCCTAAGTTATTACATTGTTTTATGATTAGTATCAGCCTTCTTTCTGAACTGTGGTTTTTGCCAGGCTATTTAATTATAGTTTATTCTTGGCTTTGTTTTTTACACCATTATATACTGCTTGAGGATATCTTTTCTTGTCTTGCCTTCTTTTACCTTCTCTTTCTGTCCCTGTCTTCTTTCCTCTTTTATTCCCTCTCTTCCTTCCTTTATCCTTTTCCCATTCCTCCATCCTTCTCTTCCTTCTGTCCTTTCATTCTTTTTTTTACAGTATATATCACCGTTAGAATAAATGAAAATATATCAATGTCAAAGAGTATACCAATAAACTCATCTTTACATGAAAATATCATACATTGAAAATGCATTTAGTTTATCTAACTTGCCAAACATCACAGCTTAGCCTGGCCTACCTTAAATGTGCTCAGAAGACTTACATTAGCCTATGGGTGGGCAGAATCATGTAACACAAAGCCTATTTTATATTAAAGTGTTGAATATCCTAAGTAATTTATTGAATATTGTGCTGAAGATGAAAAGTAGAATGGTTGTATGTTTCTTGAAGTACAGTTTTTACTCAATGCATATTATTTCACACCATCTGTAAATATATGTTTATTCAGAGTCAACTTTTACTGTAAACTAAATCCATAAAGTGAATGGGAAATTTGTGTACAGAAAACATCAGTTATACTTCCAAAATGATGAGAGAGATTGAGAGAGAGAGAGAGAGAGAGAGAGAAGCTCCCTTCTGATTTTGTGTATGAAATAGAGTAATAGGCCTCCCATAATTAGGTCTTCAGGGCTTTATTTCTGAAGTTTCATAAGTTTTATACACCTTTCATCTTGGAGGCAATTTAAAGTTGTGCACAGAGGTTTAGAAGAGTCCTTAAATATTTAAATTGTCTCTTAAATCCTGAGGCAGATCTTTAGGAATTTGTGGGTCTCCACAATGGGATGGTATTTCAGCATGCACTTCAGAGGCAAATTCAATTTGCCCTATTCCTAAAATTTATTGCCAAATATTAATTTTCTTTCTATTTTTAAACTAGAGGAATCTGATGATACTTTTTCTGAACTAGAAGAATTTCATGACACTTTATCCTAGTAATCATGTCCATAACACCATGTTTCTGTAAACATCAACTAGTCAATCAATTTCTATGACAAAATGATTACTCACTCGTCTTGCCTCTTTGGAGATTCAGCTACTAATGAGTGGCTATGAAGACTGGCTGCAAGTAGAAAAGTAAGACAAAATTGTCTGTTGCTGTTGCACCCTATAAAGAGAGGCAACCTCTGGTTTGGAGGTAAGTTATTGCAAAAACAAGAACAATGTTTCAACTGTAAGAGAGACTTGGACTGATTGGTTAAATCAGTTTGAAAATGACATTTTTTTTTTCTGATTTGAGAGTGACTTTGAATATTGGAAATGGAATTTAAGTGTCTATTCACTGGGATGTAGTAGGAACAAAATAAAAACCATGAGACCAAAAGAGCAGTTCTGCATGCAAAGGCAATTGAACAAAAACTGAATTTGCCCAGCCCTTGTGAATTACTTTATGTCAGTGTGCAGTTTTTTATGACATTACAAAGTATTTGGACACTGTATCATCTACTTAAGCTAATTAAAGCTTATTACACAGTAAATAGCAGATTGTGTGTTCTTTAGTATAGAATTCATATTAAACAAATCCTTGACTGTGGTTCCCTAGCAGTAACTCAGGTCAATTTGGTTCAGTTACCAGTGAACCAGTTGAACGGTGTGCTAGGTAATATGACAGGGACTCTTTATACAACAGTATCATGTGAGGAGAACATTATGACAAATTTGGAAAATAAAAAAAAAAACTAAATAATCTCTTGGGATCTGAAATATATAATTTGCCAAAGGAATGCATAGTCAGAAAGAGATCATCTTAGGGAATATCCTTATGTGTTTGCATTAGCATTGGCGACTATTTTGAATATTTGCTTTTCTGTCATTAGGTCATGATTGTAATAGTGAGTAACTTTCCTTTTCCTCTTTTATGTTAATAGGCTTGCTCAAGATGTTAAAATAGTTTCAGTCAAGAAAAACTCAGTCATGTGTTTTAAAACTAGCAACACACTGGCACCTTATTAAAATCTTATCTTTTATACCTAACGTAAATGATGAGTTAATGGGTGCAACACACCAACATGGCACATGTATACATATGTAACAAACCTGCACATTGTGCACATGTACCCTAGAACTTAAAGTATAATAATAAAAAGAAGACTTCAAAAAAAAGATAAGGTTTTATATCCAATAAAACTGTCAAATATAAGAGGACACAATAAACTGTTATCAACATGAAAAAAAATAAAATCCTATCTTTTTTATGAAATAAATTGACTTCGATAAAAGGTGGATCTTTTGGATGATTTTTCTTTTCTGCCACCTAATTCACTGGCATCCAAAGTGTTGGAGTGACTGTGATAAAACGTATCCTAATTTTTAAAAAATGAAAATAATACCATTTATTAGAACATAGTGTGTGATCTGACTAAGTAAGCCACATATACCTGACCTCATGGAAGGATGATAATGACTAGTTCAGGGATGTCAAAAAAACTCTTAACAGAATGAAAAGTCATTAAAGCCAAGCATGAAGGAAACCACTAACAATAGGAACCCTTGCTGTGCTAAGTGAGTTATACACATCATTTCATTTAATCTTATGCACAAGTACATGGTATAGATGTTGTCCATATCTTCATTCTACTGATGACTATGGTGATCAGAGACATGTCCAGGTCACCTAGTTAATAAGGGGCAGAGATGGCATTTGAACCAAGCCTCTTCCAAAGTCTGTGACCTTGACAATATTATGAAATATGCTTGATGGTATATCTTGTAGCACAGAGGTAGCTCATGAAACAATAATTTTTGCAGAGAGCAGATTTTTACAGGTTTGCATATAATCTCCATTATTCAAAGAACTCCGCATTGTAAAATGCCCTCTGGGGTCTCAAGTAGTTAATACCTTAATCCAGAAAATCTGAAAAATTCTAGAAAATGTAAATTGTATGAAAAGCTACAGAACGATAGGGGGAATTTAGAATAGGGAAATCAGGTTGGGTTTGAAGTGATCCTGAGGAGACTAATTATGTCTCGAAATTGAGAAGATGGACCTGAGATTCACAGCAAAGTACCTCATAATGTTAGGTGGAGGAAATATTCTGAAGATAAAAGGCTCCTTGAACCTGAAAATGGAAAAGAATAATAGCCAACATTTACTGAACCATAATTTTATTCCAGGAAATTTTCTAGATCATAAAAACATTAAAATGTTTCGTGGAAAAAAAGTGACATGGAATTGGATGTTAGACCCTAAGCCAGGTCAAAGAATAGCCTAGAGCTTGTTGGTAGGAAATGAGACAGACATAGTACTGCAAGTCCTACTGATACTAAATAAATTATCTTAAGTATTGGGAATGTGACTATAAAGTACCTGTTCATCCTCAGCAATTACCATTTAGTGTGTGATATTGAACAAGTTAGAACAGTTTTCAAATGCATGTGGTCATGTCCTATGGCAACGGATGGCTTTAATGTAGTATGCTATTGGAAAGGTGAAAGGAGAAAGGCTAGGAATCCCACAAACAAGAACTCTTTAGCTTAAATATTATTTTATTAATAGGAAATACATTCACAAGGTTCAAAATTTTAAAAATGTGCTAAAGGGTATACTGTTAACAGTCCCGCCCCAATTAATAAGCTATATATTCCCTTTTCTGGGGATAAAAACTATTGTTTATTTTTCTAGAGATACTCTATGTGTGAACAAAAATACATGCATGTATATATACACATACACATATATATATAATCTTTTTTACACAAATGATAGTGTACCATATATACTGTTCTATTACTTTTCCATTTAATGTTTCTTGAAGATCTTTCCACATCAGTGCACAAAACATCCTTACTCCTTGTGACGGCAGTACAATATTGCATTATTTCTATGTTTTCTTCTTGTGGAAATTTAAATTGTTTGCTACATCTGCTGTTACAAATGATACTTTAATGAATCCATTTCTATTAAAATCTCTTTGGCATGTGCCAGTATACCTGTATGATAATTACTGAGAAGTCAGTCTGTGGTCAAATGTTATATATATATGTATTTGTTATTTTGATAAATATTGCCACAGAGTGGGAGGTATTAGGGAATTTCTGTTTGAAAGTTCCCTGGGATTTTGGTCACTGGTTTCTTAAATATTCTTTTCAGCTAATAACAGAGTATCAAATAGGATAAAGATATGTCAATTAATGATAACAGTCACAATTTTTTTTTGTGTGTACTGTATATATAATATTTGTATATTTATGTTGCATATAAGATATATTTTCTATATATAAAATATATAACTATGTGTTCCATTTTGTATATAACTATCTTTATTATTTCCTTAGGCTATATCTCAGACACAGAATGTGTGGGCCAAAATTCATAAACTTTTGCCTGTGATATAAAAGGAAGACATTTGGTAATCTATAGGGATTGATGTGAGTATATATTACTCACATTCTCATCGAGGAAAATTGCTGCAAATATACTATAATCAAACACAAAACAATAAATACAATCCTCAAGAGAGTGAAAAAAAGGGATCAATGATGATCAATGAATATATGTATAGATAGTTAGACATATTGACTATCCAAGCTTGTATAATCTAAAGGCTGAAAAGGAACTCTTAAAAAGGCAGATTGTAAGGACTTTGTAAGTATTATACCAGTAAAACCTAGGAATTAGGAGATTAGAATAAAAGTGGAGTAAAAGTATTTTGAGTTTTGGCTTCATTTAGATTTCAGGGATAATTAAGGTGATTAGAGCACACCCTATTGGAGAAAACAGTTTATGGCCTTAGAAGTTAAATTATGAGGAGAGAAAAAGAAGGCAATCACTTCCTGAATGAAAAAAATGAGTAGTGTTCAACTTAATGAAAACAAATAGTGAATGACAACTTCGTCAATTAGCAAAAATAAAAAACTGGGAAAAAGAGAATGCAATAATTCAAATAATGAATAAAAATAAAGTATGATGGAAAGAATAAGATGTAGTACATTAATAATTATGTTAAAGTAAATAGAATAGTCTGAATATTCTCATAAATGACCCAAACATTTAAAAAGTAGTTAAAACATACTCTGATATTTGTTATTTAAAAGTAGTATACTTTAAACAAAGTGAAAAAGAGAAGTTAAAAATAAGAAGTTGTACAAAGAGATAGCAGACAAAAGCAAACTAAAAGAAAGCGGGAGTGTAATATCAATATCATAAAAGTAGAATTAAACTTTAAAGTGTCAAATAGAATAAAGATACATCAATTAATGATAAGTTATAATTTATGAAGATGATATATTAACCATAAATCTATCTACACTACACTAACATAGAAACTAAGCCTATATAACAAAAGGATTCTAGGTATACAAGAATTTGATAACAATATTTACATAGAATTCATTAAATCTAGGCAGCAGAAAATAGGTTATTTCAAAGATTTTAATAATATATTTAATAAATTTTACATGTATACCTGTTTTGTGCATGTATTTAAAACTATGTATCTTCCCAAAGAGAAATCACATTTTTTTGTTAACATTTACAACATACATCATGCAATTGGCTGCACAAAAGTCCATAACTAGAGAATTATAGGTCATGTTTTCTATTAAAATAAAATGGGGCCGGGCGTGGTGGCTCACACTTCTGATCCCAGAACTTTGGGAGGCTGAGGTGGATCACTTGAGGTCAGGAGTGCAAGATCAGCAAGGGCAACATGGCGAAACCCTGTCTGTACCAAAAACACAAAAATTAGCCAGGCGTGGTGGTGCATGCCTGTAGTCCCAGCTACTCAGAAGGCTGAGACAGGAGAATCACTTGAACCAGGGAGGTAGAGGCTACAGTGAGCCAAGATGGCGCCACTGCACTCCAGCCTGAATGACAGAGCGAGACTTTGTCGCAGAAAAAAATAAAAATAAAAATATATAAATTAATTAAATAAAATGGGAAATAAATAATAAAAATAGAATGAAAATGCCTAATCACTAAATAATGAAGAAAGATGCTTGGATTTAAGAGGAACTAAAGAGAAAAACAAAAAAATTATCTAGAAACCAGTAAAAAAAATTCTCATAGAAAACTAAGTCTATAATAGAACAAAAACTGTTCTAAGTGCCTTTATTTGAGCAAGAAATAGAGGAGTAAGGAGGAGGAAATAAGAATTTTTCTTCTTATTTCAAGAAATTAGATAAATAGTATTAGAATAGAGAACATAGAAATTAGAAATCAGAAACTTAGAAAAATAGATCCGAATAAACAAGAAACTTATGAAGACAGAAACTTAATGAAACTCAAAAAGTCACGAGGATAAATCTAACCTAAAGCTGTTTTTTTTTTTTTTTAAAGACCTGTAATATAGGAAAACCCCTTGTGAGTCGAATAAAGGAAAAAAAAAAGTCAAACAGGCATCATAATGAAAATGAGAACTTTTCATGTAAGGGAGGACACAAGAATTATAATGATCAAATGCAACTCTGTGACAAAATATTTGTTATAGAAATGAGTACTTTTCTAGCAAAATATAAAGTATAAAATCAACTGCTATCAAATTACCATATTGAAATCTTCTTTTTTTTATCTGATCACAGTTTTTATCTGATATTTCTTTTGAAATATTAGTATTGTTAATTAGAATACAAGGTATTCTAGTCTGTGAGCCAAATTCTCTTTGCCAAATGAGTATTAGAGCTCGAATTCTGAAGCCATACTGCTTGGGTTTAAGTCCTTGCTCTTTCATTTATTTGTCTTTATGAAATTGACCTTAAGCAAATTACTTAACTTTTCTGTGCCTTATTTTCCCCTCTACACAATAGGCTTGGTGATACTAATAGTAACAGTAATTACCTCATAGGCTTGCTATTCAGACTCCATTATGTAATGCACAAAGAAAACAATTAATAGAGGATTGGCACACAGTAAGAAATGTAGCAATTATTTTGCCTTTGATTTTGTTCATTCATCCAAGAAATGTTTTTGAACATTTGCATCTGTGTCTGTTCTATTCTAGCTACAGGGGCTGTGGAAATAAGCAAGAATAAGTACCAGCCCTAATGAAGTTTACATTCTACTGGGAAAGAGAGACAACATACGTAACATAGTATAATTTCAAGGAGTGACAAGAGCATCGATCTATTGTGTGGTGATTTATAGCCAATAAAAATAGTTTAGTGTTCAAGTATATGTAATACAATGCTCATTTCTATTATAACCTACAGTTTATGTATGTGATGACAAATATGACAAAAAGTTCAGACTTCAACAGGAAGATTTAGGTTTGAATCTTAGCTCTGCTATATAGTATTTACCTTTGGTCAAGTTTACTTAACATATCTGCTTTGATTTATTCATCTGTAAAATATGGATACTAATACGCCTCTCCTAGAACTGTGATGATATTAAATGAATTAAATGGCTGTAGCACGAAACATGTTAGTTTTATCTTCCCTTCCCTCTCTCCATTCACTCATTCATTCATTCCCTTCCCTCTCTCCATTCATAATTCCCTCTTTTCTGTCCACTTTTCTTTATGCTCTCTCTTCTTTCTTTGGTCTTTTCCTTTTTTATTTTTCTTTTTCCTGGGGATTATGATACATATTCATTGATACATGCTTGAAAGTAATCAGAGTAAGATAAATATTTGTCTTAACATGCTCTCTCTTACAGGTTAAATAGAGAGTAAAATGGAATGGGAAAACCACACCATTCTGGTGGAATTTTTTCTGAAGGGACTTTCTGGTCACCCAAGACTTGAGTTACTCTTTTTTGTGCTCATCTTCATAATGTATGTGGTCATCCTTCTGGGGAATGGTACTCTCATTTTAATCAGCATCTTGGACCCTCACCTTCACACCCCTATGTACTTCTTTCTGGGGAACCTCTCCTTCTTGGACATCTGCTACACCACCACCTCTATTCCCTCCACGCTAGTGAGCTTCCTTTCAGAAAGAAAGACCATTTCCCTTTCTGGCTGTGCAGTGCAGATGTTCCTCGGCTTGGCCATGGGGACAACAGAGTGTGTGCTTCTGGGCATGATGGCCTTTGACCGCTATGTGGCTATCTGCAACCCTCTGAGATATCCCATCATCATGAGTAAGGATGCCTATGTACCCATGGCAGCTGGGTCCTGGATCATAGGAGCTGTCAATTCTGCAGTACAATCAGTGTTTGTGGTACAATTGCCTTTCTGCAGGAATAACATCATCAATCATTTCACCTGTGAAATTCTGGCTGTCATGAAACTGGCCTGTGCTGACATCTCAGACAATGAGTTCATCATGCTTGTGGCCACAACATTGTTCATATTGACACCTTTGTTATTAATCATTGTCTCTTACACGTTAATCATTGTGAGCATCTTCAAAATTAGCTCTTCCGAGGGGAGAAGCAAAGCTTCCTCTACCTGTTCAGCCCATCTGACTGTGGTCATAATATTCTATGGGACCATCCTCTTCATGTACATGAAGCCCAAGTCTAAAGAGACACTTAATTCGGATGACTTGGATGCTACCGACAAAATTATATCCATGTTCTATGGGGTGATGACTCCCATGATGAATCCTTTAATCTACAGTCTTAGAAACAAGGATGTGAAAGAGGCAGTAAAACACCTACTGAACAGAAGGTTCTTTAGCAAGTGAGTGCAAAATGTACTGGAATATGAACACACTTGATATTGTTGAAACTTCAGAATTATGTTAGAATTTTGGGTACTTTTACTATTTTTATGCATTTTCATATATTATGTTAAAATAATGAGATACAGCATTTCAAAATTATTGCATGTCCACTCTAGAGAATTTGCAAGATACAGGGCAGTAGGATGAAGAAGAAAGAGGGGTTACCTATTACTCTACTAGTGGGAAATGGCCCCGTTTCAACATTTTGAACAGTAACTTTCATATTATGGGTTTTTTTTTCTGCATTGGAATTGGGTGTGATGTGCCTTTTTATGTTCACTTTTTTCCATAATGTTATTTCATAGGCAACATTTCATAGAATCTTTCAAAATAAATAAAGCCCTCTGTTGTAGAAAAAGCAAAACAGAAAAACCCCAACATAGTGTACTCACATTTTCCAGGGACAAGCCTTGTGTTATAGTTTCACGTTAATCTCCAGATCCTGTTAAGCCACTAAATACCAGTTTCTTTTTCTGTATTAAATTTTGTGTGTGTGTGAAGTTGAGTATCTGGGACTATCAAAGGGCAGTAGATAAATAGAGTTTAAAAGCAGGGCCTATGCAATCAGTCAGGATATCCTGCTTTATGGTCTTTCTTTGCTTTAACTTACATGTTGGCTCTAAAGAACATTTTGCAAAATTAAAAATGGGTTTGAAAATCAGTCTACTGGTCTAGATAATAATGTGGACTACTTTTGGGCTGAATGGAGTGTCATATCAATGCCCATTTAGAAGATGCCAGATTTCTTTGCTGTCCCGAGGGAATTCCAATATTTTTCCAAATCTTAGAAGAATGTCCAAGCTCTTAATTTTTAGTAAGAATACTATTGATGTCTTGTCTCTGTTACTAACTAGTTTGATTTGAGGAAGAAGAGGATTGGGGAAAGTCAGATACTACCTTGCTTTTCCTTGGTTTTTACGTCAACTTTTTTCTCTATTGAAGGACATTTTAAATTTACAGCCCAAGATGAATGATGAAGTGTGTTCAGGAGTGAACCACATTCTAGGTAATCAGTTTGGCTGAATCAATTTTTATTAATGGACCAGTGAATTTAGATTATATTGGGCATAAACATATTTTGCACAGGCAAATAAGAATTACCTGCTTGTGGAATCTTTTGGGTTTAGTCACTCATTTAATCTTCCCAAGTTCACTTGTTAATTTTAGTTGAAGGAATATTAAACAGTCACAAACTATATTTAAATATATCCATCATAGCTGTTTACAGATTAAATCTGATGGTAAGAGTTGAGATCATTGATAATTAAATTTACATCCTGACAAAATAGGCTATGAGAATCTATTAGTTCCCATACACCAGTTCATTGGACTTTTTGCACCCACTAAGAATTCCAGGTAGGTAGAAAGCCCTGGAAGTCAGGCATTTTATGTTTGACCCACAGGTAGGCTGTCTTGAATGCTCAAATGCTGATTTTGTTTTCCTTCACAGCTTAAATCCAGCCACTTTCATAAATTCTCTGGGGTGACTGTGGTAGCTCCATAGTCTTATATCAGATTTATAAATTTTTGATGGAAAATTAACTAAAGCAAGAAGAAATTTAAAAACACACATTTCTCCTCACAGGAGAATATTAGGACAGTTTTTCTCTCACAGGTTGTAGAATCAAGATCTGAAGAAAATACAGGCATGTTACCTGTCTTGATATATTTATGTGTTCAAATTTGCTGGGCAAAATACACAATCATTATAATACTGACATAATGCTTTATTTTAATATTTGGGCCTCTAGAGGAGTTTTCATTCAGAAAATTTATTTCAAAAGCTTAAGGAGGATGATTTTGTTGTTAGCAACCTGTTTTTTTCTAATTTGGAGACAAGGTAAGATAAACTTATCTGATATACCAGGCATGTATCTGTGTGCATGTGTGAGTGTGTGTGTGTGTTCAGTTTGTGTATGTGTAGTGTGTGCATGTTCCTGGTGATTTTTCTACCAGATAGCAAAATCTACAAAGGTAAGTATTTCTCTATATTCTTACCATCTTTACTCCCATTGCACTCAATTTAGAGCATGACATTTATAATATGATTCAATATACATTTATATCCATGAATAGGAAAATTATATGGAAGGAGGTGCAACTGGAGCGAAGCACATACTTTTATATCCCGCTGAAGTCCCAAGACAGGTTCATGATTTGGTTAAGAGCAGAGATACAGCAAAAAAGGCAAAATTACATTGCTCTTAATCCAATAAATTATTTCATCATCTTCGTACACTTTTATGCCTGACCAATTTCCAAATATTCTAAGCTTGAGATTATGTCAACTTTTTAGGGTCCTGGGGACTTCTAAAATGAACACTTAAAAATGTAGCAATATATTGGCTATCAGCTAATTCACATACATCATCTCTCTAAAATCCTGTGATCTGGGCTATAGTGTCGCTATCTCATAGATGAGGCCACAAAGCTTATGGAAGTTAATACATCTTGTCCAAACCTCAAAGTATGCAAGTTAAAGACAAGCATACACACCTGGCTATTCTTTCTTGAGTTAGTTATTCTTTATACTACAGCATGTTTACTTTTCCACATTGCTTGTCATGACATCTAACACCAGTATTTCTTGGCAGCATATCTATAATGACCAAAGAAACTATTACCTGCTTCTCAACTTTCATAGCAAGTATATAAAATTTCCGGAAAATAACTTAAAAAAGAAAATTAATTTAATTATTTATAAAAGAACCTTGACACCATCACATGTTGTGTCCAAAAATGATGCTTAATCACAATTGATAGGAATTAAATCTTAAATTAGGGGAATACCTGACATTAATTGAGATATGAGAAGGGGAGGAATTTGATATTAGCTCTAATCTTCCAGAAAAGACTATAAAAAATAGATTTTTTTTTTTTTAGTAAAGATAACACTCACTTTACAAAAACAGGGGCTCCTAATTTATGGTGTGTAAGTAAAATTTTATCTTTGAAATTATGAAATTTTTTATGCTGTTTTTGGATGACAAATACCTTTAATTTATTTATATATCTAAAATTCCAAAGGAAATATGTGCTTATTGTAAAATAGTCAAATACAACGAAATGTGCAAACTAGAGAATTATAGGTCATGTTTTCATATTAAAATAAAATGGGGCCGGGCACGGTGGCTCATGCCTGTAACCCCAGCACTTTGGGAGGCTGAGGTGGGCAGATCACTTGAGGTCAGGTGTTCAAGACCAGCCTGGCCAACATGGTGAAACCCTGTCTCTACCAAAAACACAAAAATTAGCCAGGCGTGGTGGCACATGCCTGTAGTCCCAGCTACTCAGAAGGCTGAGACAGGAGAATCACTTGAATCTGGGAGGTGGAGGCTGTAGTGAGCTGAGATCGCACCACTACACTCCAGCCTGAATGACAGAGGGAGACTCCGTCTCAGAAAAATAAATAAATAAATAAATAAATAAATAAATAAATAAATACATAAAATAAAATAGGAAATAAATAGTAAAAATAGAATGAAAATGCTCAGTCACTAAATAATGAAGAAAGATGCTTGGATTTCAGAGGAACTTTACAAACAAAAAAATTATCTAGAAACCAGTAAAAAAATTCCCATAAAATACAAAGTCTATAATAAAACAAAAAGTGCTCTAAGTGCCTTCATTAGAGCAAGAAATAGACGAGTAAGAAGGAGGAAATAAGAATTTGTCTTCTTATTTCAAGAAATTAGAAAAATAGATTTGGAAAATAGAAATTAGAAATCAGAAAATTAGAAAAATAGATCCGAATAAACAAGAAATTTATGAAGATAGAAACTTAATGAAACGCAAAAAGTCAAGAGAATAAATCTATCCTAAAGCTGTTTTTTTTTTTTAAAGACCTGGAATATAGGAAAACCCCTTGTGAGTTGAATAAAGGAAAAAAAAAGTCAAAGAGGCATCATAATGAAAATGAGAAATTTTCATGTAAGGGAGGACACAAGAATTATAATGATCAAATGCAACTCTGTGACAAAACATTTGTTATAGAAATGAGTACTTTTCTAGCAAAATATGAAGCATCAAAATCAACTGCTATCAAATTACCATATTGAAATCCCCTTACTGACCAATCACATTTTTATCTGATATTTCTTTTGAAATATTAATACTGTTAGTGAGATTGCAAGATATTCTAGCCCATGAGCCAAATTCTCTTTGCAAATTCTCTTTAAGCATTAAGTTATTAAGTACTGAGTATTAAGTTTTGAGTATTAAGAGCTCGAATTCTGAAGCCATACTGCTTGGGTTTAAGTCCTTGCTCTTTCATTTATCTGTCTTTATGAAATTGACCTTAAGCAAATTACTTAACTTTTCTGTGCCTTATTTTCCCCTCTACACAATAGGCTTGGTGATACTAAGAGTAACAGTATTACCTCATAGGCTTGCTTTTCAGACTCCATTATGTAATGCACAGAGAAAACAAATAATAGAGGGTTGGCGCAGAGTAAGAAATATAGCAATTGTTTTGCCTTTGATTTTGTCTGTGCATCCAACAAATGTTTTTGAACATTTACCTCGGTGTCTGTTCTATTCTAGCTACAGGGGCTGTGGAAATAAGCAAGAATAAGTACCTGCCCTTATGAAGTTTACATTCTACTGGGAAAGACAGACAATATACGTAACATAGTATAATTTCAAGGAGTGACAAGAGCATTGATCTATTGTGTGGTGATTTATAGCCAATAAAATAGTTTAGTGTTCAGTTTTACATAATACAATGCTCATTTCTATTATAACCTTCAGTTTACTATGTGATGACAAATATGACAAAAAGTTCAGACTTCAACAGGAATATTTCGGTTTGAATCTTAGCTCTGCTATATAGTATGTACCTTTGGTCAAGTTTACTTAACATATCCGCTTTGATTTATTCATCTGTAAAATATGGATACTAATACCCCTTTCCTAGAACTGTGATGATATTAAATGAATTAAGTGGCTGTAGCATGAAACATGTTACTTTTATCTTTCCTTCCTTCTCTCCATTCATTCATTCATTCATTCATTCCCTTCCCTCTCTCCATTCATAATTCCCTCTTTTCTGTAGACTTTTCTTTATGCTCTCTCTTCTTTCTTTGGTCTTTTCCCATTTTATTTTTCTTTTTCCTTGGGAATTATGGCACATATTCATTGACACATGCTTGAAAGTAATCAGAGTAAGATAAATATTTGTCTTAACATGCTCTGTCTTACAAGCTAAAGAGGGAGTAAAATGGAATGGGAAAACCACACCATTCTGGTGGAATTTTTTCTGAAGGGACTTTCTGGTCACCCAAGACTTGAGTTACTCTTTTTTGTGCTCATCTTCATAATGTATGTGGTCATCCTTCTGGGGAATGGTACTCTCATTTTAATCAGCATCTTGGACCCTCACCTTCACACCCCTATGTACTTCTTTCTGGGGAACCTCTCCTTCTTGGACATCTGCTACACCACCACCTCTATTCCCTCCACGCTAGTGAGCTTCCTTTCAGAAAGAAAGACCATTTCCCTTTCTGGCTGTGCAGTGCAGATGTTCCTCAGCTTGGCCATGGGGACAACAGAGTGTGTGCTTCTGGGCGTGATGGCCTTTGACCGCTATGTGGCTATCTGCAACCCTCTGAGATATCCCATCATCATGAGTAAGGATGCCTATGTACCCATGGCAGCTGGGTCCTGGATCATAGGAGCTGTCAATTCTGCAGTACAAACAGTGTTTGTGGTACAATTGCCTTTCTGCAGGAATAACATCATCAATCATTTCACCTGTGAAATTCTAGCTGTCATGAAACTGGCCTGTGCTGACATCTCAGGCAATGAGTTCATCCTGCTTGTGACCACAACATTGTTCCTATTGACACCTTTGTTATTAATTATTGTCTCTTACACGTTAATCATTTTGAGCATCTTCAAAATTAGCTCTTCGGAGGGGAGAAGCAAACCTTCCTCTACCTGCTCAGCTCGTCTGACTGTGGTGATAACATTCTGTGGGACCATCTTCCTCATGTACATGAAGCCCAAGTCTCAAGAGACACTTAATTCAGATGACTTGGATGCCACTGACAAACTTATATTCATATTCTACAGGGTGATGACTCCCATGATGAATCCTTTAATCTACAGTCTTAGAAACAAGGATGTGAAGGAGGCAGTAAAACACCTACTGAGAAGAAAAAATTTTAACAAGTAAATGAGAAAGGTGAGAGTAATTTTATAATCACAATATGGAAATCAATTAGAGAAACCAAGGTTAAACAGATAGGTTCTCGTTGCTGTTTCACATTCATCTCTCGAAGTTCTAAAGCTCCAAAATACACTTCTCTGATTGCGATACATAATGAAAAGAAGTAAATAAATAAATTTCAGTGTTTGGAAATAAGTTTCTATTCTGTTCCATTGGTTGATATGTCTATTTTTATCTGAGTACCATGCTCTTTTGATTACAATAACTTTATAACATATTTTAAAACTGCAGCATATGGTGCTCTCAGCTTTGTTTTTGCTTCAGATTGCTTTGCCCAGGCAGGGTCTTTTCTAGTTCCATGTAAATTTTAGGATTGTTGTTTCAATTTTTATGAAAAATGACATTGGAATTTTGATACAGATTGCATTGAATCTGTAGATTGCTTTAGGTAATATGGACATTTCACAATATTAATTCTTCTAATCCATGAACATGTAATATCTTTCGATTTACTTATGTCTTCTTCAATTTTTTTATCAATGTTTTATAGTTTTCAGTGTATAGTTCTTTTACGTCTTTGGTTGTCTTTTTTATTTTGGAGAGATTGGCAACCAACTCATCTAAAATGATATGTGATCATTAAATAACAAGTAAAAGAATGAGGGTTCAAAACAAAACAACTCTACATTTTTTGCTGGAACATGTTAGCTCTCTTATTAGAAAATTATGTTTATTGGCTTGTATTTTGTGAGATGAGGGGTATATAGTGATGAGTCTATTTTGAGCTTGTACACCTTGGCCTATAACTTATTGTTAACATTAAAATGTAATGGGATAATATCTATAGACAAATAGAAAATTTCAAATAATCCCTTATTCCCCATCATTGCTAGGGATTCGACAGTTCTCTTAAAATTGCCTCATAGCTATACATTTGCACATATACTTCTTTTTGTTCTATGGATTTGTATATGCCATTGCTTTATAAGACATCCTTGATATACTTTTTGCAATTAGCCTTTTCAGGCTCTTACAGACAGCCTCTATTATACTAAAAGCTACGTAAAATGAAATCTTTAAAAATGAGATGTTATTCTCGGTCCCTAAATACTGGGGTAGTTTGAAGATGTCAGGATGTGTTGTCTGCCATGATTCTGAAAAGACTAACATTAAAAGCCATAGTTTTCATTCTCCACTGGCCTGGGGAAACTGATGTTCTGTTATCTATGAAAACCTGGGGGAAAATATATTATTTAATATTATCTTGAGTTATCATAGCCATGAACTACCTTGAGTTCTAAAGATTAAGTCTCCAGGGTTTCCATATATAGTTCATTAAGTGTCTTCTTTATGTGAAGACACTTTGTTGCTCAGACCAATGTCATGGAAATTTGGAGGTTCTGGGGAAATTCTGGAGGCCATGCCCTGCATACAGAATGAATGCTGATCTAAGGTAAACTAGAGCTACAAGGAACTAAAGTCATGTGCCATTTAACAACGTTTTGATCAATGACAGATAACATATAATGGTGGTCTCAGGAGATTATAATTTTATATTTTTACTGTGACTTTTCTTGTTATTTTAGATACACAAATACCATTGTGACACAATTGCCTATAGTGTTCAGTACAGTAGCATGCTGTACAGCTTTGTAGCCTAGGAGCAATAGGCTATGCTATGTAGCCTCAGTGTATAATAGGCTATATCATCTAGGTTTGCATAAATATACCCTGTGATGTTTACAACATAATAAGATTTGACAATTATGCATTTCTCAGACTGTACCCCTGTTTTTATGACTGTAATATTTTTTCATGCTGAAATCTCCATGAGTCTAAAGAACATTACTCTCTGTAATACTCTTTAAATTTGCAGACATGTAGATTTGTGTCTAGTTTTCCTAGACCCCATGGAAAATGTTGGTCAGAAACATACAGTTTTTAAAGTATTTAGCTGCTGTTACATTTTGGCAGAATATTTAATAAATAGATCCATACTTATTAAAAAAAGAGGTATGCTCAGTTTTTAATGTTTGGATCCAGTTAGAAGGGATGTCAGCTTATTGTTAATAACACTGACTCAATTAGTATAGATAACCTTTTCATCTTCTCAAAAAAAAGAAAGCTTTATCCTCAAGTATATTTTTTCACCTTAAGTTTTCAAATGCTTCGTGATATGAGTTCCAATTACTGGGTTCCAGGCAGAATGTAAGTTGGAACATAAAATATTCAGGACAATTGACCCTGGTCTGTGCTAAAATAGGTGAAGCTTTCCACTGAGGTTTGGGCCTCCATCTCTTAGTCTCCCAGGCACAAGAAATCCTGTCTCAGAATCTACTCATACTGCAGTTACGTTGGCCACATCAAGATCTACCAAGAGACTCTATTATAATGATGTTTTCCACAATTTACTTTGATATTTGTAATTTCCTTTATATTTATTATACACCAGATAGTGTCCAGGTGTTTTTTTACTTATTTGCATTTCTTCTGTGCTGCCTTACTAATATCATTAGAAAAATGTTTTATAGGATTCCTGGGAGCTCATTTATACACTTCGTATGAAATTGGCTTTACATTTGCTATAATATTTTGGTGCTAAAAATATTTTATGTTTTCTGCAATTTGCTGAAAAGAGAATCTTAATTTTTACAGAACTCAAAACCTAGTTTTAAATGGCCCATAGCCAATGCCAGGCAACAGTAAATTTTTCAAATAAAGTTTTCTCATTCTACCTTATTTTTCTCAGCTCCTAAATACTGTGATAATAAATATTGCTTGTGTTTGTGACAGCTATATCCAGGGTTAAAATGTTTTTTGATCCCGAATATCAATTATAAGAAGAATAGGATAGCACAAGGCAGCCAGCACTGGTACACTCTAAAGTGCTAAACATATGCAGAGCAATAACCAGAAGCAATCTTCCTTCCACCACAGATCCAATATCAGGTCCCCAAAACATAGTTGTTTTGTAGTCTTTTAGGAAATCGTTAGTCAGGTGCAGCCACATGAGGAGACACAGAAGAGGGTCAGGAAAGCAAAGTTTATTATACCCACAAGTCTTAGAGATAAGGGGCATGATATATCATACAGGGCCACATGGGGAAGCCACCAGGATGGTCAGGAGGCAAAAAACAGGTGTGCAGGGAAGGTTTAGGCCACTGCCTTTATTGGAATTTCCACAGGAAAGGCAAGTCAAGGCACAATGAACAGTTTAGGATTGGAAGGTTTGAATAATTTCTGCAGGCTTTGGGCTAAAGGAGTGATCTCTGGTTGTCTGGCAATTGTCACTGGGAACTGGGGTTTGAGGGCCAGATAAAGAAGGTATGGCTCTGGATTCGTTAGTTTCCATGTCAGAGGCATGCTCCTACCTGAGCTTTTTGCTATCTCTAAGAATTCACTAGCCCATGGAGGGCAGTCTCTTCCAAGCCAGGAATGTTTTTTACAATGTCAAAGCATCATAATATACAAAATTTAAAAAAAATCTTTACAATGCAATGTTCAATTCAATTAAACATTTATTTCCTGGTGCCTAACATGTCCTTAGCACTGTTCTAAGCACACAAGATACAGTGGTAAACAGAACAGGCATTCTTGCTCTCATAGAGCTCATACTCCAGCCAGGGAGTCAAATAAAAAAAATGTAAAAAAAAAAAAAAAGGTTTACCATATTGTGCATCCACTTCGTAATATGGTGGAGTAGCTAATGGTTCTACTAAGAAAAGTAAAAAAATCTACGTAGAATAAAAAGTAAATGGACTTTATTATTTCTGTAGAAGTCAGGATATGAAAAGCTAAGATTCTGAAGAAAAGAGAAGTTTATTTAAATGAGCCAAACATTCTGTACTCCTCTTTTATTCTCTTGGGACATTTGCTGATTCTTAATTGTTGCTTGATAGGCTGAGAAACTGGGCAGAGGGCTGCTACTAAGAGACAGAAAAAGTGAAAATAGATTTTGGCATTGTCATGGGTCTAGGAAGACAAAACATGAACTTTGGACCAGCTAAGACACCCTGTTCTTGAGAGGCCAAGGTCCCAAACTGAAGGGATGTGCAGATGAGTGGTCCCCACCGTTGTCATTGGTTTTCCACATCAGGCATTTGCTGACTCTAGCCTAGTCAGAACAAGAAGCCAGGATTGTACAAAAAATAACTAAGAATGTTAGTTGAGATTGTGACTGCCTCTTGTGTTTATGAGATCAAAATTGGAGTCTGGGACCTAAGGAAAAAAAAGCTTTTTAATGAAATCTCCAGAATCTCAGTTGGGACTCTGGAGACTCTGGAGAAAAGAATCTAAGAAAAGGAGGTGAATTAGATTTTGGCTTATATTTACAAAGTCTGAAATCCAACTGTAAGTTATTTCAACCCGTCTTTGACCTAAGACAATCTCCCCTACTCTGGGTTTCTACTAGAGAATAAAGTAAATCCTCTTTGGATAAATAAAACATCACCCAGAGATTCTACATTTTTTTCATCTACAATATCTGGCATTTAATAAAAAAATTACAAAGAATAAGAAAACAGGACCAAGAGACAAAAACAGTTAATTGAAAGACCATCAGGTGATCTAAATTTAGAAGTAATCAGACGCAGACTTTAAAATAACTAATGTTAACCTGCCGTGAGCATAGATAACAAGATGAGGACTTCACCAGACAACTTAATATTATATTAAAAAAATTGAAATTATGTACCTCCAAACCACAATAACTGGTATTAAGAACTAAATACATAGATTTAATAGCAAAATAGACAAAGTTGAAGAAGGGCTTAACAAGCTGGAAGGTAGATCGGTAGAAAATAACCAGACTGGACACATGGAGAAGACAAAGGAAGGAAAATGCAGAAAGGACTGTGAGAGCTACGTGGAATATAATGGAAGTCTAACATATATATAACTAGTTGCTCAGAGGGAGAGGAGAAAGAGAAATGTAATAGAAGAAAAAATGGCAAATGTCAAATGAAATTGTTAAACTTATAAAAGACATCAAGCCACAGATTTAAGGAGATCTACAACATCAAGGAGGATGAGTTAAAAAAAAGCCACCTATAAGAGCCTTGTTATAAAATTTCAGAGACCAACTCTAAAGAGAAAATATAAAAAGCAATGAAAAGAAAAAAAAGACACATTTTTTCAAAGAAGCAGCAACAAAACAGAGGCAACTTCTCAGCAGAAACAATGGATACCAAATATAAAGAACAGCATTTTTTAAGTGTTGAAAAAAAATTGCCAACCAACAAGTGTATACTCAGTGAAAAATCCTTTAAAATTGAGAACAAAATGAAAACATTTCCAGACTCTCCCCCTAACTTCCCTCCATCTACACAAATAATTATTCTTTAGTAGTCTTACCTTGAAAGAAATCCTGGCTTGGTATGGTGGCTCATGCCTGTAATCCTAGCACTTTGGGAGGCCAAGACAGGTTGATCACTTTAGCCCAGGAGTTTGAGACCAGCCTGGGCAACATGGCAAAATCCCATCTCTACAAAAAATTACAAAAATTAGCTGAGTGTGGTGGCATGTGCCTGTAGCCCCAGCTACTCAGGAGGCTGAGGTGGGAGTATCACCTAAGCCAGTGAAGGTTGAGGCTGCAGTGAGCTGTGATTGCTGACATTCTTCTCAACTGGCTTGGGTTCCAACACTTCAGGCAAAGCTGTTTCCTTCAAGAATGCCCACTTCACCCTAATCTGTTTCTCACACACCTTGACTCTTCTCCCCTCCTCAGGTGAGCTCTTTTCACTCCATTTAGGTCTTTCTTCAGGGATTCTCTCTTCACCCCTTTCAGACTTGGACACCCATATTCTGAACCTCCCCATCCCACCACGGATGCTTTTCTTACCCCATGAGGACTCTGACAACTCACTCCAGACCACATGCCTATGGTGTGCAGGTGTTTTCCTTATCCCACTTGTGTTCTAATATCTTCTATCACTCAGCTTTTCTTTGCATGAGTGGTCCTCAACCAGGTGCTAGGATCCACACCTTCCTCTTGTGTGTATGCTCCTTTCATGCTGCTTGGACTTTGACACCCTGAACTGAGCCTCTCTTCCACGTTGACATCTTCCTTATTCTGGACAGGCTCCAAAACATCATACTGGGCAGAGCAAGTAAGGATGCCTTTCTCAATGCCATTGGGTTATAAAAATCTTTACTGGTTTTACTGAACAAGTAAGTTCATAGCCTCAGCTCATAGCCTGAGCTGAGTTCCTCACCCAGCTCAGGCTATGATAGTGTACCAGGCAGCTCAACTATATATTATGCAAATATATATTTTCTAAAAAATACAACTATATATTATTCACTAGCCAGTCCAAGGTTTTTTCTAATGAAAGGAAAATATTTTAAATGAGACTGTAATGAAAATATTTTAAATGAGACTATTGCTTTTGAAAGAAATTGAAATTGTCAGTGTTCCATAAGAATTTATACAATTGATATATTTTCCTCAGCAATTGCTTATTTGATAATAATAAGCAGTAGGATTTTTGGTCTTACCTAGCCAAAATGATCTCTTCAGTATATTCTATTCAGACTTTATCTTCCCTTATTTTTCTCCATGTTTAAAAATCAGCTGTTATTTTACCAAAATCTTTTAGAATTGTAGTTTGGTAAAGGGAATAATGTATAAATTTCAGTTATCTCCCTGTATTAAATCAGGTACTTAGACCGTATTTTACCATCCTTTAAAATTTTTAATTCAACAGTTAATTATTGCCAACTGTTTTTAATTAACTTGACATTAGATTTTATGCGGAGGATAGTGAGCCATAGTTCTGCTATTGGGAAGAATTTCGGAAGGTAATAAATGATTAGAGTATAAAAGAAAAATCGCTTAGTACAGATAAACTCCAGGGCAGCACGGAGGAGGGAATAGCTAACTCTGGGAAAGCTTTGGACTGTGTTGCAGAGAATATGACACTTGACCTGTCCTTTATGAGATTGTTAGGATTTCACCTGAGAAGGAGAAATGTGAAAATGCAGATGGAATAGCATGTGCTATTGTCATTAGGTGTGAAAGAAAATGATATAATTTGGTAATTACATAGTAAATAGAACACAGCTTATGCAAAGAGGTAGGGGGAGGGAAAGGACAGGGAAAGAGGTTGAAATATGTAGCTGGAAGGGAAAGATGGGACCAGATCCAGTCCCTGGATAAAATAAAAAGCAAGAATAAAAGAACAAAAATACAAAATAGTTTTTTTTAAAAGAGGCTGAAAAATGTGTTTTAATTGTTAAAATTAATGAGCTGGATTTTCTTAGAAAGACTTACTTAAAATATTTTTCTTGTTTCCAAAAGTTTGCTCTCACAGACCACTTGTTTCTACATTTTAATGAAATCAGTCATTTTCATAAAGCAATATCGTTAAACTCTTAATCTTCAAATTTTTTCTAACTCTGAAATTCTGACTCAACATGACCTTAATTGCTTTTCTTCTGTCTATCTTTAAAAGTGTTGTCTCAAACTTGTGAGCGTATTTTGTGCATAAACTCAAAGGTGTCAGTGTGTCATCATTTCCTCCAGAACCAGGGTCTACTCATTAATTTCCTCATAGCTCCATGCACCTCTGTATTCCTCAGGCTATAGATGATAGGATTGAGCATGGGGGTGACTATGCCATAGAACAGGGCAATCAGTTTGTCAAAAGCAGAGTCTTTGGACTTTGCCTTCATGTACATGAAGAGGATTGTCCCATAAAACACAATCACCACTGTCATGTGGGCTGAGCAGGTGGAAAAGGCCTTTTTCCTTCCTTCAGCTGAATTGATTCTTAGTACAGTAGAAAGGATAAAGATGTAGGAGATACAAATCAGCAGTAATGGAGAAAACAAAAATATTACATTGCCCAACATTATAATAATCTCATTCAAGGAAGTATCTGTGCAAGCCAGCTTGACAAAGGCCAATATTTCACAAACAAAATGATTAATGACATTTTTTTCCACAGAAGGGTAACCGTATTGCAAGAACAGTTTCTGTCAATGAGTTGAGAAAGCCTAGTCCCCAAGAGACAGCCACCATCTGAATACAAAGTGCCTTGCCCATGATGATGGGATATCTCAGAGGGTTGCAGATGGCTACATAACGGTCATATGCCATCACTGCTAGAAGCACACACTCGGTGGATCCCATAGTGTAAGAGACAGACATTTGAATCACACATCTAGTGAAGGAGATGGTTTTCTTCTCTGATAGGAAGTGTATCAGCATTGAGGGGATGGAGGAGGATGTGTACCAAATGTCTAGGAAGGAAAGATTCCCAAGGAAGAAGTACATGGGTGTGTGGAGACGAGCATCCAGGAGTGTCAGAATGATCAAGGTGCCATTACCTAGGAGAATCACCAGGTACATCACTAAGCACATCACGAAAAGGAATTTTTCAGCTCTTGGGTACCCTGAAAGTCCTTGCAGAATGAACTCTATCTCTGTCCAATTGGTCCTTTCCATGTTATTTTTTCATACCTGGAGTTTAACAAGTCTGTACAGCATTAACATATGAAGTGAGAGATAATTGGTGTGGGAGGGGCAAGTGTATCTCCGCTAGCTAGAGTGGTGGTAACAGCTTTGAGGTTAGCTTCTGGGATTCCTTTTCTAGCTCATAAAGCAGTGAATTGAAGACACATGTTAGTTATATTGGTAGTTTATTAAAAATTGCAGGCCTCTGTATTCCATTTCTTGAGATTGTGATGCAAGAGGTATGAGGCAGGGAGGACTCATTTGCATTTTTAGCAAGCATCTGTTACTTCTCATGCAGTTGATCCACAGATCCCACTTTGAAAATCAATATTTTGAAGAGAGCATGCTTTAATCTGTTTGAAAAAGATTTGTAATTTGATTTTATACCATGCAAATAACAATGCCATTGGCTTAGTTTCTTATAGTTTACAAATATGTTCTTATATTATTCATTTTATTATAATTCTCTGAAGAAAATGAAGACTATTGAGAAACTTATATACAATTATAGTAAGGGAGGGAGTTGTTATGCAAAGCTTCATTTTTTTGTTTTTAAATCCCTTTTTTTAAAACTATACCTTATAACCCTCCCAAAATGATGTAAGTTCAATCGAAGGGGTGGGAATCAGGCATCTTTTCTTTTTTTATAATACTCTTCACATGATTTTAATTTACAACTGAGGAAGAGACCCAGCTATCTTGTGGAGTGCTTTCAAACTTTGGTCTTCATACAAATCATGTGGGGAATTTTGTAAAACATTCTGATTCAATAAATCTGTGGTGGTTCTGAGTCCTGCATTTATTAACATGTTCCCAGGTGATGCTGATATTGCTTGTCTACAGAACATACCTGAGTAGCAAGGCCTTTCAGACCATCTGACTCCAATATCACTGGAGTGCTTTGCTACTTCAATTTTGTGTAAAATAGCAATTGGACAATAGACAATGCTAAACTGAACACTGCTGAAACATGAAGATACCTCTGTGTAGTTTATTGCAATCAATTCTGGTTATATATGCAAGCAACCAAATTGCACAGAGAAGAACCTGCCTTTTACCTCTGTCCATATGAAATTCATTCCTCTTCTACTTGATGAATTTGCAGTTAGGGCTGGTATTTTTCTAAAGAAGGAATATTAGTCCAGTTCAGGCACCTGAGTAGTGCACCAAAGAACATGGAACAAATGACTTTAATCTGAAAAAACTTAAAGCGTAGGTATTAGCAGATTACCTTCTTCTTTACAGCAAATAAATCACAGAATATCATTTTGAAAACATCTCAACATCCTCATGGTATTCTATCTAGCTTTAAAATATATCCCTAGCAGAAAAAAATTGATACAATGAATGAATTTTGACTTAATATTTTAAACAAATGGCTTTGTTTCTGGTACAGGATTTGCCATTTCTGTGCTAGTCATTTGCCCACAAGTTGTGCTGCTTTCTATGAAAACTCCAGTTTACAATGGTCAGGCAACATAGTCAGCGTAAAAGGATGCTTGTATTTCTTTTCCTTTTTTTTGAGACGGAGTCTCACTCTGCCACCCAGTCTGGAGTGCAGTGGCGTGATTTGGCTCACTGCAACTTCTGCCTCCTGAGTTGAAGCAATTCTCCTGCCTTAGCCTCCTAAGCAGCCAGTTTATAGGTGCCTGCCATCATGCCTGGCTAATTTTTGTATTTTTAGTAGAGATGGGGTTTCACCATGTTGGCCAGCCTGGTCTCAAACTTCTGACCTCAAGTGATTTGCTCCCCTTGGCCTCCCAAAGTGCTGGGATTACAGGCGTGAACCACTACGCCTGGCTGGATGCTTATATGTCTATTGGCTATGGAAATGAGGGCTTTCAACTAGTTCAAGCTGCATCCCACTTTCTAGGCATAAATTACAAAGAAGGTAGAAAGTGTTAGGTAGGCCAGCATACACTTTTTTTGGTAGTAAGATAGGAATTTGAATGACTATAGCTGCATATATTAACCTACTCTGAATCTGTCAATGAAATTTTCATAGAGGCCTCTCTGCATTGAAGTTTTTTCAGGCAAGATATGAATCAGGTACACTGCCCTCTCTTTTCTTTTGTTGAAACATCTAAACATTGATTCCTATTTGGAAATTAATTTTGGAAAATAATTATGGTATAAATAGTATCCTAACAGCCCTAAGATGGTTGCTGCAATCATAATTTCACTTGCAAATACTTATAAGAGAAATCACCAGTCTGCTTCGATGCTTTCAAATGGGAAAAAAGGGATAATGGACGCTTTATAATAAATTAAAGTTTATTCAGATTAAAATATAGAATAAATTATTTGAATTACTCTTGCAATGCTGGTGTAATTTAAGAAGAGAGCAACAAACACCCTGTAGGCGTTGTGCCTACAGTTTTTCTGCCCTTAGGTTTAATTTCCTAACATGGATTCCCAGAATCTTCTTGGGAACAGGGAATGAAGATTGTTAAGATGCTGAATAGTTTCTAATAAATCACTTTCCATGGGACTTCTAGTATCAAATAATTTTATTCTTTCCAGATCTTTGCTATTATTGGATATTATCTTTTAAAATAGTTTTTATTTTTGTCTAATGTTAGTGGAATTGTTGAATAATCATAGTACACTCATGTAATGGGCCTTTACGCACCTATTAATATGATGTTTGTGAGGAGTTTGTATGAACATAAAAGTCATGTTTAAATTATCTTAAGATAATTAAGTTAAAACAGAAACAAAAGTTTATATTATAACATTGTGTGCAAAACCAAAACCTAAACAAACCAAGGTAACCCAGACAGAAAATAAAGACTGGAAAGAAATATCCAAAATGTGAATGGTTATTTTAGATAACTTTTTTCTACTTTTCTGAATATCTACATTTCTAAATAAATATATATAAAAGTAAAATGTAAACAAAAGTGAAAAATGCTGAAGCAGTTGTCTATACTTATGTTAGGAAGACTAACTCAGAGTAAAAAATGTTGAAACAATTGAAATAGTACAGCAATTTTGTCTAGAGATTGCACAATGTGGCTGAATTGTGCCGGTGTGTCCTTTCCAATTATCCACAGGAACTCACTAGTTTTTGTATTGGATCTAGAGCATTTATATCCCTACACTTAAAATCTTCTGGGTAACAGTCTTTATTATTTTCTGGAGGTAACCAAGATAAAGAACTTGAGTTCCTAACTTAATCAGAGGATCTCAAAGGAGATTGCAGACCATTAATGCCTAGAACAGAATTGTTACTAGAAGATGAAGTTTGTATTTGCAGCAGGCTTTAAACTAGCTGGAATCCTGCCACCTCAAATCCCTCTCTCCCAGCCCCTGTAAGAAACAACCAGTCTATGATTCAATGCTCTGGGGCTGCTTTAGTGTTGCAATAGGCCTAAGCAAAGTTTGTGACTTTTTAATTCAAGCCAGAAGTCAAACTCTAACTTTCTAGAAAAACATCTAACCTTGTTTTGCTTTGCTTTATTAACTTAGCTACTTGAAGGCCTAATATTTAAAGTACTAATTTTTTTTTCAGCAAAACCGTGTAACATCTGTATCCTAAATACTCCCTAGAAGAAACAATCTTGTAATCTCCAGCTTTTCTAAAGAGATCAGTTAAGACCATTGATATTACACAAAGTTTAATGGACATGCCAACTATCAATTTATAGATATACTCTAACCCTCAATTAATACACCATGAGGAAAGACATATTATTTTAGCTCACAAAGGGAAGGGCAATTTATAACATGTGAAGTATTAGTATGTATTTGACATTTCATATAATTTTTATCACTTAATTGTCAAAATAACCCAAATACTACTATGAATTTTTTTTTTTTTTTTTTTTTACAAAGAAACTAATTTGAGATTTCAAAGGATGGCCGAATAGCAACAGCTCCGGTCTGTAGCTCCCAGCGGGATCAATGCAGAAAATGTTCAATATCTGATAGTAGTAAAGGATACCACTGTTCTGCAGTGTTCACTTATTTTAAAGTACAAAAATTTTATAAAACCACAATTTAATTAGATGAACTTTCAAAAAGGGTCTTTATGATAATTATGCACATAGAGAATAAATTTACCCCTTTTGGAAACCATTTATAAAGACATTATCTACAATAATGACTTCAAATGAAAGCCTACCCCAAATTCCTTTCAGGTCTATTGTGGGAAATTAAGGGCTAGTATAGTGGAATTTGATTTATTATGTAAATAAGAACTCACAAAAATTTAATGTTTTTTCTTTTACCCTGGCTGCCTGGGGTTCGAACTAACACTCAGTTATAATTATTTCTCACCTCTCTTTCATATTACTTGTTGTTAATTCTATTTTTACTGCAAATACCTTTAATTATATGCTTTCTCAAACCCTTATTAGGCATAGTTTATATATGAATAATATATAAATTGCCGTGTGTTCTTTCTCCATGTTACTGTTACTTAAGACTTAGTGGACCAGATACTTGAGTACAATAACCATTAGCCTATTATTTATGAGTCTGTTGCATTGTAAACAACTTTCTTTTCCTCACATGAATTAATTCTGTGATCTCAAAAGAGACTGCACGCCACTGGATTATTTTGGAATTAAAGAGAAAAATTTAAATAAAATCTCCTGGTCTGGTAGGTGATGACTGAGTTTTTGCATTTTTTTCCTTGATATATATATTAAATATTTATATTTTTGAAATACCACAAGCAATGACCATGTCAACTCAAAAATCTTTGTTGATAAGATGTTTTTCTTTTGAAATAATCATAATAAAAACTTCTCTCTTTATCTTTCCTCCTGACTGGGTTTTAAAATCATCCATACCATTCCATGCTGTTAAGTAATAGAAAAAATTCCCAGGAATTTGAATTTCATTTGTACGTTTCAGATGATACCAGAAGATTCTCAATTTGGATACGGTGCCTCCTCTTTCCTAAAAAGAAATGTGAGGAAGAGTAGGCACAATCAGGCAATTTGGCTGTACGTGAATATTCTTAAGAGGATATCAAGGAAATAAAATATATTAAGCATAATGATCAATGATGTAACTCTAGTTTTCCCATAATTTGTTCTTAAGTTGGTGCTTACTCAAGGGAGACTCAAGTTTTTTGGAGGTGAATTCAGCAATTACTTTTACAAACTTCTTCCGTCCCTAAGGTTGTAAGTAAAAAAATTATAGGATTCTCTAGGGATACAGTTCCTGACTTCTGCATATTCCAAAGACTCAGTTATTCTGATCTAAAGAAAACCTTCCCCAGCCATACATTTCTTGGAGTATTCATTGAATATATCTGTATTTGATGGCATTATAATAAGTTGGGGCTCCAGTTAGAATGTCCGAAAGTTCTCAGAAAAGTTAAACTTTTCTCACAAATTCACAGATTTGATTTTTTTTGTACTGCGTAAATAATACTAAGTTAACTCTATAGAATCCTACATTTCAACTGTTTAAATTCTTTCTGTTTTTCATATTTTTGTTAATTCCAGACAACATGCAAACATTTTTCTTTATACCAGTAGAATTGCAGCAGAAATAAATTTTAGTTAGCGTTTGCCACTTTACATCAATAATTTTCTGTGATTTTGCATTTTTTATAGTGTATGTAATATTCTTTTTTAATATTTAAAGAATATTTTATTAAGTGGAATTACTATAGCCTACAATTTTCATATTATTGGGCATATTTTTTAATTTTTTGAGATTTTTATGTAATTACGATTGATATCTATGTACTTGGCTATCTAATCTGCTGTTGCTTCAACTAGAGATAAGATAAATTTCTGGAGATAGAACTACAGAATACAAAGATATGAATTATGAGAGAATTCTTAGTACACAGGCAG